>NC_000004.12:9116477-9272916 GCF_000001405.40 Homo sapiens | reverse complement strand
GATCTACCTGCTTGTGCCCGGGAAGGCATGCCTTTTCCATGGCATCCACAGTGAACATGAGAAATTCATGGGCATCTTCCTGCTTGCCTCTATGGAAGCCAGCAGCCAATGCCTGTGAGGGCTGGATGACGTGGCCAGGATTGTGGAGGGCCCGTGTGATGTGAGCTTGCATCGTACAGAGCATGCAGCCCTTGTGACGATGACACGTTTGAGAGTGCTCCCGGGACAGCATGTAGTTGGCAAGGGGCGGTGTGTATGTCAGGCACTGCAAGGAAGCGTTCACGTAGCAGGTATTTCCCATATTCTGGAGCCCAGCCCCCACCGCAGCAGGTCTCCTGCTACTCAGAGGAAGCTTCTCCCTGGGAGCAAGCTGTCTTGCCACAGGAGCCAAATCATCACAGAGGTCGACACGGGTCTCACATGAGAGTGGTGACTTCTCAGGGAGAGAAGTCCGCTGGATTTCAGCAAAAGCTGCATCGGGCCGAGAAGATGTGAGTTTTGAAAAGTGGTTGAACTGCCACTCACCTCCCAAGTAGAGTGAGTCGTCCTCCATGTCGACTGGAACGAGGATCACAAGGTTTGTCTGCTGGGACCGCAGGTTGCAGAAAGACGCTATCCCTTCCGAGAGAGTCTTCAAATGACGAGCTCTCTGGCCGCATCAGCCCTTCTGTAAGTCACCCCCACCAACCGCGAACACCCCACCCACTCATCAGGTGCGCGATAAGCCAATCAAATATCAGCACTCAATTCAGGAAGGAGTCACAGGGTGTGTCCCCTGGCATCGCTGGGAATTCAACAGACACAGCCCACAGCATGACTTCCAGAACACCTGAATCAAATTACTCCTCAGGATGATAGGCACATATAATAGGAGTGTAACCGGGTTGGGACAGTGGCCTCACAGTTGCCTTATTTTAGGTAAAGCAATGGCAGGGAAGAAATCTTTACCTAGGAAACCGTGTGCGTGTGTGTGTGTGAGTGTGTTTGTGTGTGTGTGTGGGGGGGCGTGTGTGTGTGTGTGTTTGTGCTGGGATGAACCTCCAAGTAGGTACTTTTGGCAGCTGCCATCATCCTCTCAGCGACGGAAGGACAAGAAGTCGAAAGTGCGCTTTCTGACCTGAGAATAGTCAATGAAGTATAGTATTTAGCACAGCGTATTTTCTTCCCTAGTGAGAAAGGAGAGATCCGTGGAATCAAACAGACCTTCCAGCGATAACCTTTCCACGTTGAGCCTATTGATTCTCTGTCCGAGTGAAATTACCTGCCAGTGGAGAACAAGACAAGTCTTTGCATGAAATGCTCTTGTGGAAGCTAGATTGCCAAATAAGAAAGAATCAAATGGTAGAAACATGCACTGAAGTTTGAAGAGATACTCAGTGCACAAAGTAGACTGTGAAAGCCTTTGGGGAAATCATGCAATCCCCGAGAGACTAATTGATGACAATCCCCAAATTTATGTTTGCCAGAAAAGAGAGACGGTCATGACACTGCATAGTGAGCGGTTTCGGACGTGCGACGGCAGTTTAAGAAAACACGAAACAAAAAACTTGAGAACTCAGAAGGTATCCCAGCTATACCCTTTTGTTTATTAAAGAATTGATGAAAATAAAAACAACGTATCTCACAGCATGTGTGATAATATTTCCATACGTATGTGATAATGGATCAACGTTTCCTAGAGATGAAATAAAAAGTTCTAATTTGGACAAAAGCAAACAAGGAAAATTATACCGTAGAAAAGCCCGGCTGACGGAAGTGAGGCCCTGTCTCAGGGAGAAACATCGGAGACGTTTAAAAGCAGGGAGTGAAACAGAGGATAGCGTGCCATTTTTAATACTGGCCCTTGTATCAGTGGGAAAAGGCCAAAATAAGCCGTGCATATCCTGGATTCTCGCATCGATCGTTCAGGATCGGAGATGTTGCCTCCATTTCCAGTTACGCATTGTATGGTGGAATTGCAGTTAGCACATTTGGTGCCAAAATTGTAATGCTGCCGAAAGTGGACATGTTCCCTAAGTAAGAGGGACAGAATTTGGGTGTGTCTTCCGGCTGTCTGGCTTAGCAGGAATGAAGATCCTGGCTCTAGGGATTTTCCCAACACGTCTTAGACGGTAAGGAACAGGGCGGAATTGAGGCCCGGCGCCAAGGCCTCTAGGTGTAAAGAAACAGCCCTGGCTTCAGGGCCCATGAAATTAGGATGATTTTAAGGAGGATGATGGGATGAGAGGACTGTGACCTTTGGCCCCGTTTCTTTCCCTTGTCTTTTCATGGGCCAGGTGTGCTCCATCAGAAGGCTTCCTGTGCCGGATGTAAAGTGTCCTGGGGGAAGAAAAGAGCACTGCTTAGAAAGATGCTCCACAGGGAGAAAGGAGCCACCATTTTCAGGAGAATGATCCCCAGAAGCATGAGCAATGCAGATGCCGAGGCTTCACACAAGACCCTGGAGGGTCTTATTCCTGCAGCCGGGACCTGGGCATCGGTGTGCTTGAATGCTCATAACCGATTTTGAGGGGAGCCCAATCGATAAGCTGTCTGCCAGTCATGCTCATCACACTGTAGTTTTCACACACGTCACACGGAGACCCTGTTCGTATGCACATTTGGGTGCTTGAGCAGGGTTGCGCCCAAGATTCTGTGGTTCTACGGAGCCCTGAGTTGTGCCCTGGGCAGCTTTCCTCTGGGGCTGGTCAACTTTGATCACTGTACCTGACGAGAAAGGGACCATGAAGTCTAATCAGCAAATAGAGAAAAGGAAGGGGCCATTTCCCACAATCATTTCCACGGAAACACCACGTCGGATAAATAAGTCTCACTGCGGGACAGGGACTGTGCTTCAGAGATGCAGCTTTCGCAGCTGGACAAATGACCCAGAAATTCCCCAAATGCCATTTTTAAACACACCCAGTGAGATTGATTGCAGGGCTTTCTGAATTTATTTCAGTTGAATACACACACTCCTGTGTTTGCTTTCCTTTATTATCAATACAGCTTACTTCCAGATGACTTACATGCCCGTGGGAAAATTTTCCGTTTGGACTCATGGGAAGCGGGCATCGTGAAACAGGCAAGTCGGTCTGTCCGCTTCCGGCGTTATGTGGGTTCCAGCAAGAGCACAAGTCCCAGGGCGCCTGAGGTCCATTCAGGAACCAGTGTAAAAACGGCGAGCCCGGGGAAGAAAGAAGAGCACCGTTCTTCTCTTCCAAATGCATTCCAGTTTCCACTATTCAAGGTGGCGAGAATGATCCACGGATGTCCCACATGAGCCACCTTTCACCTTCTCATGCCGACCAACAACTGACGAATGAAACACACCCCAAGAGAAAATACGAAACCGAGTCCCCTGCAATTACCTCACACGCAAACCTACACGTCGGTAGGTCATATTCAGAAATACACACTGAATGTCACCTATCATGAACACAAACACTCAGACAGTCCCACCAGAGGTTCGGAAGACTCACGACCCCAAAACTTGATGTTTCCCATATGCGGGCTCATCCTGAGATGTAGCCATCACTATCCAGTTGTCCCTGTTGTAGAGACAGAAACTTGGGCTCCTCATTAGTTTATGTAGGATTGACGGTGTTCGTGTTTGTGTGGGTGTGTGTGTGTTTGCGTGCGCGCTTCTGGGTGTAGTTATGTGTGTGTCTGTGTGTGTGCGTGTGTGTGTGCACCCCTACGTGTGGGTCGGTACTTCCACTGAGATCACTGGCACACAAGCAGAGCCCTCTTGCTGTGTTTGTTCTTCCCTTTGGATCTCCTGGCCCTCCCTCGCAGGGAAGCGAGTGTGCCAGTGTTCATGGACTCCTGATGTGTCGGGGTCGTCGAAGAGAGTTTTAGCAGGGAGCTTTGCTGTTCAGGATGATGGTTCTTCATCCCACACTTGTATTTTGATTGATGAATCACAAGTACGTCGGGAGGCAGGGTACCTTCGACTTTTCTGACGTTGAACTCAGGCTTCGTTTTGTTTTGCTCTTGAAGGAATTTCCAGTGGTCTAAGGTGCTTTCCTGAGTGGCTCTTTCCACCAAGTGCTCGTCCAACTCGGGGGCCTGGAGGCAGGGGTGGTCTCTCTTGAGCTCTCCTTGCGTTGCTCGCCTGTCTGTGTCTTCTGCGCCAAGGGCTCTTGGTTCTCTGCCTCTTGACACACTCTCACTGTGTCTTTCCCATTCACTCTTCTGGATGTAAAAGAGGACGTAGGCCTGTTGACTCAGGACAGAAGTGATGCTAGAGGCGGTGACCTCGGCATCATCCATTTTATACCACTGGCCTTCTTGAGCTTTGACATAAGAGAAGTAATGTCCGTTGTGACAACTCCACCCAGCGTGGACCAGCACAGCATAGAGGACATAGACGAGAGGTCCTGTGTTCTGCTGAGACATGTATGGCTGCATGTCAAGGCACTCAGGATATTGCACATTCTTGGCAATCTTGTTGCCTGTGACATCGGAGAATCTCTTCAATACAAGGATGAGGACCTTGGCAGAGGTGTGTAAAGTTAACGTCTTGGAGGCCGGCGCCCTCTGGAGACAAACACCACAATGATAGGCATTCTCTCCATTGAGTTCTTCGGGCTTCACCAACTGTTCCAAAGCTTGCTGGACACTCTGAGCTGCCTGGATATCCAGGGCGATGTCCAGGTAAGGGTCAAAAGTGTCTGAAATGCCGTGGCAGTGGAGACACTTGATTTGAGATCTCCAGTAGCCTCCAAATATTTGGTGGATGAGGGTGGTGTCCTTAGAGTGATGATCCACCTGCTTGTGCCCGGGAAGGCATGCCTTTTTCATGGCATCCACAGTGAACATGAGAAATTCATGGGCATCTTCCTGCTTGCCTCTATGGAAGCCAGCAGCCAATGCCTGTGAGGGCTGGATGACGTGGCCAGGATTGTGGAGGGCCCGTGTGATGTGAGCTTGCATCGTACAGAGCATGCAGCCCTTGTGACGATGACACGTTTGAGAGTGCTCCCGGGACAGCATGTAGTTGGCAAGGGGCGGTGTGTATGTCAGGCACTGCAAGGAAGCGTTCACGTAGCAGGTATTTCCCATATTCTGGAGCCCAGCCCCCACCGCAGCAGGTCTCCTGCTACTCAGAGGAAGCTTCTCCCTGGGAGCAAGCTGTCTTGCCACAGGAGCCAAATCATCACAGAGGTCGACACGGGTCTCACATGAGAGTGGTGACTTCTCAGGGAGAGAAGTCCGCTGGATTTCAGCAAAAGCTGCATCGGGCCGAGAAGATGTGAGTTTTGAAAAGTGGTTGAACTGCCACTCACCTCCCAAGTAGAGTGAGTCGTCCTCCATGTCGACTGGAACGAGGATCACAAGGTTTTTCTGCTGGGACCGCAGGTTGCAGAAAGACGCTATCCCTTCCGAGAGAGTCTTCAAATGACGAGCTCTCTGGCCGCATCAGCCCTTCTATAAGTCACCCCCACCAACCGCGAACACCCCACCCACTCATCAGGTGCGCGATAAGCCAATCAAATAACAGCACTCAATTCAGGAAGGAGTCACAGGGTGTGTCCCCTGGCATCGCTGGGAATTCAACAGACACAGCCCACAGCATGACTTCCAGAACACCTGAATCAAATTACTCCTCAGGATGATAGGCACATATAATAGGAGTGTAACCGGGTTGGGACAGTGGCCTCACAGTTGCCTTATTTTAGGTAAAGCAATGGCAGGGAAGAAATCTTTACCTAGGAAACCGTGTGCGTGTGTGTGTGTGAGTGTGTTTGTGTGTGTGTGGGGGGGGGCGTGTGTGTGTGTGTGTTTGTGCTGGGATGAACCTCCAAGTAGGTACTTTTGGCAGCTGCCATCATCCTCTCAGCGACGGAAGGACAAGAAGTCGAAAGTGCGCTTTCTGACCTGAGAATAGTCAATGAAGTATAGTATTTAGCACAGCGTATTTTCTTCCCTAGTGAGAAAGGAGAGATCCGTGGAATCAAACAGACCTTCCAGCGATAACCTTTCCACGTTGAGCCTATTGATTCTCTGTCCGAGTGAAATTACCTGCCAGGGGGAGAACAAGACAAGTCTTTGCATGAAATGCTCTTGTGGAAGCTAGATTGCCAAATAAGAAAGAATCAAATGGTAGAAACATGCACTGAAGTTTGAAGAGATACTCAGTGCACAAAGTAGACTGTGAAAGCCTTTGGGGAAATCATGCAATCCCCGAGAGACTAATTGATGACAATCCCCAAATTTATGTTTGCCAGAAAAGAGAGACGGTCATGACACTGCATAGTGAGCGGTTTCGGACGTGCGACGGCAGTTTAAGAAAACACGAAACAAAAAACTTGAGAACTCAGAAGGTATCCCAGCTATACCCTTTTGTTTATTAAAGAATTGATGAAAATAAAAACAACGTATCTCACAGCATGTGTGATAATATTTCCATACGTATGTGATAATGGATCAACGTTTCCTAGAGATGAAATAAAAAGTTCTAATTTGGACAAAAGCAAACAAGGAAAATTATACCGTAGAAAAGCCCGGCTGACGGAAGTGAGGCCCTGTCTCAGGGAGAAACATCGGAGACGTTTAAAAGCAGGGAGTGAAACAGAGGATAGCGTGCCATTTTTAATACTGGCCCTTGTTTCAGTGGGAAAAGGCCAAAATAAGCCGTGCATATCCTGGATTCTCGCATCGATCGTTCAGGATCGGAGATGTTGCCTCCATTTCCAGTTACGCATTGTATGGTGGAATTGCAGTTAGCACATTTGGTGCCAAAATTGTAATGCTGCCGAAAGTGGACATGTTCCCTGAAGTAAGAGGGACAGAATTTGGGTGTGTCTTCCGGCTGTCTGGCTTAGCAGGAATGAAGATCCTGGCTCTAGGGATTTTCCCAACATGTCTTAGACGGTAAGGAACAGGGCGGAATTGAGGCCCGGCGCCAAGGCCTCTAGGTGTAAAGAAACAGCCCTGGCTTCAGGGCCCATGAAATTAGGATGATTTTAAGGAGGATGATGGGATGAGAGGACTGTGACCTTTGGCCCCGTTTCTTTCCCTTGTCTTTTCATGGGCCAGGTGTGCTCCATCAGAAGGCTTCCTGTGCCGGATGTAAAGTGTCCTGGGGGAAGAAAAGAGCACTGCTTAGAAAGATGCTCCACAGGGAGAAAGGAGCCACCATTTTCAGGAGAATGATCCCCAGAAGCATGAGCAATGCAGATGCCGAGGCTTCACACAAGACCCTGGAGGGTCTTATTCCTGCAGCCGGGACCTGGGCATCGGTGTGCTTGAATGCTCATAACCGATTTTGAGGGGAGCCCAATCGATAAGCTGTCTGCCAGTCATGCTCATCACACTGTAGTTTTCACACACGTCACACGGAGACCCTGTTCGTATGCACATTTGGGTGCTTGAGCAGGGTTGCGCCCAAGATTCTGTGGTTCTACGGAGCCCTGAGTTGTGCCCTGGGCAGCTTTCCTCTGGGGTTGGTCAACTTTGATCACTGTACCTGACGAGAAAGGGACCATGAAGTCTAATCAGCAAATAGAGAAAAGGAAGGGGCCATTTCCCACAATCATTTCCACGGAAACACCACGTCGGATCAATAAGTCTCACTGCGGGACAGGGACTGTGCTTCAGAGATGCAGCTTTCGCAGCTGGACAAATGACCCAGAAATTCCCCAAATGCCATTTTTAAACACACCCAGTGAGATTGATTGCAGGGCTTTCTGAATTTATTTCAGTTGAATACACACACTCCTGTGTTTGCTTTCCTTTATTATCAATACAGCTTACTTCCAGATGACTTACATGCCCGTGGGAAAATTTTCCGTTTCGACTCATGGGAAGCGGGCACCGTGAAACAGGCAAGTCGGTCTGTCCGCTTCCGGCGTTATGTGGGTTCCAGCAAGAGCACAAGTCCCAGGGCGCCTGAGGTCCATTCAGGAACCAGTGTAAAAACGGCGAGCCCGGGGAAGAAAGAAGAGCACCGTTCTTCTCTTCCAAATGCATTCCAGTTTCCACTATTCAAGGTGGCGAGAATGATCCACGGATGTCCCACATGAGCCACCTTTCACCTTCTCATGCCGACCAACAACTGACGAATGAAACACACCCCAAGAGAAAATACGAAACCGAGTCCCCTGCAATTACCTCACACGCAAACCTACACGTCGGTAGGTCATATTCAGAAATACACACTGAATGTCACCTATCATGAACACAAACACTCAGACAGTCCCTCCAGAGGTTCGGAAGACTCACGACCCCAAAACTTGATGTTTCCCATATGCGGGCTCATCCTGAGATGTAGCCATCACTATCCAGTTGTCCCTGTTGTAGAGACAGAAACTTGGGCTCCTCATTAGTTTATGTAGGATTGACGGTGTTCGTGTTTGTGTGGGTGTGTGTGTGTTTGCGTGCGCGCTTCTGGGTGTAGTTATGTGTGTGTCTGTGTGTGTGCGTGTGTGTGTGCACCCCTACGTGTGGGTCGGTACTTCCACTGAGATCACTGGCACACAAGCAGAGCCCTCTTGCTGTGTTTGTTCTTCCCTTTGGATCTCCTGGCCCTCCCTCGCAGGGAAGCGAGTGTGCCAGTGTTCATGGACTCCTGATGTGTCGGGGTCGACGAAGAGAGGTTTAGCAGGGAGCTTTGCTGTTCAGGATGATGGTTCTTCATCCCACACTTGTATTTTGATTGATGAATCACAAGTACGTCGGGAGGCAGGGTACCTTCGACTTTTCTGACGTTGAACTCAGGCTTCGTTTTGTTTTGCTCTTGAAGGAATTTCCAGTGGTCTAAGGTGCTTTCCTGAGTGGCTCTTTCCACCAAGTGCTCGTCCAACTCGGGGGCCTGGAGGCAGGGGTGGTCTCTCTTGAGCTCTCCTTGCGTTGCTCGCCTGTCTGTGTCTTCTGCGCCAAGGGCTCTTGGTTCTCTGCCTCTTGACACACTCTCACTGTGTCTTTCCCATTCACTCTTCTGGATGTAAAAGAGGACGTAGGCCTGTTGACTCAGGACAGAAGTGATGCTAGAGGCGGTGACCTCGGCATCATCCATTTTATACCACTGGCCTTCTTGAGCTTTGACATAAGAGAAGTAATGTCCGTTGTGACAACTCCACCCAGCGTGGACCAGCACAGCATAGAGGACATAGACGAGAGGTCCTGTGTTCGGCTGAGACATGTATGGCTGCATGTCAAGGCACTCAGGATATTGCACATTCTTGGCAATCTTGTTGCCTGTGACATCGGAGAATCTCTTCAATACAAGGATGAGGACCTTGGCAGAGGTGAGTAAAGTTAACATCTTGGAGGCCGGCGCCCTCTGGAGACAAACACCACAATGATAGGCATTCTCTCCATTGAGTTCTTCGGGCTTCACCAACTGTTCCAAAGCTTGCTGGACACTCTGAGCTGCCTGGATATCCAGGGCGATGTCCAGGTAAGGGTCAAAAGTGTCTGAAATGCCGTGGCAGTGGAGACACTTGATTTGAGATCTCCAGTAGCCTCCAAATATTTGGTGGATGAGGGTGGTGTCCTTAGAGTGATGATCCACCTGCTTGTGCCCGGGAAGGCATGCCTTTTTCATGGCATCCACAGTGAACATGAGAAATTCATGGGCATCTTCCTGCTTGCCTCTATGGAAGCCAGCAGCCAATGCCTGTGAGGGCTGGATGACGTGGCCAGGATTGTGGAGGGCCCGTGTGATGTGAGCTTGCATCGTACAGAGCATGCAGCCCTTGTGACGATGACACGTTTGAGAGTGCTCCCGGGACAGCATGTAGTTGGCAAGGGGCGGTGTGTATGTCAGGCACTGCAAGGAAGCGTTCACGTAGCAGGTATTTCCCATATTCTGGAGCCCAGCCCCCACCGCAGCAGGTCTCCTGTTACTCAGAGGAAGCTTCTCCCTGGGAGCAAGCTGTCTTGCCACAGGAGCCAAATCATCACAGAGGTCGACACGGGTCTCACATGAGAGTGGTGACTTCTCAGGGAGAGAAGTCCGCTGGATTTCAGCAAAAGCTGCATCGGGCCGAGAAGATGTGAGTTTTGAAAAGTGGTTGAACTGCCACTCACCTCCCAAGTAGAGTGAGTCTTCCTCCATGTCGACTGGAACAAGGATCACAAGGTTTTTCTGCTGGGACCGCAGGTTGCAGAAAGACGCTATCCCTTCCGAGAGAGTCTTCAAATGACGAGCTCTCTGGCGCATCAGCCCTTCTGTAAGTCAACCCCACCAACCGCGAACACCCCACCCACTCATCAGGTGCGCGATAAGCCAATCAAATATCAGCACTCAATTCAGGAAGGAGTCACAGGGTGTGTCCCCTTGCATCGCTGGGAATTCAACAGACACAGCCCACAGCATGACTTCCAGAACACCTGAATCAAATTACTCCTCAGGATGATAGGCACATATAATAGGAGTGTAACCGGGTTGGGACAGTGGCCACACAGTTGCCTTATTTTAGGTAAAGCAATGACAGGGAAGAAATCTTTACGTAGGAAACCGTGTGAGTGTGTGTGTGTGATTGTGTTCGTGTGTGTGTGTGTGGGGGGGGCGCGTGTGTGTGTGTGTTTGTGCTGGGATGAACTTCCAAGTATGTACTTTTGGCAACTGCCATCATCCTCTCAGCGACGGAAAGACAAGAAGTCGAAAGTGCGCTTTCTGACCTGAGAATAGTCAATGAAGTATAGTATTTAGCACAGCGTATTTTCTTCCCTAGTGAGAAAGGAGAGATCCGTGGAATCAAACAGACCTTCCAGCGATAACCTTTCCACGTTGAGCCTATTGATTCTCTATCTGAGTGAAATTACCTGCCAGTGGAGAACAAGACAAGTCTTTGCATGAAATGCTCTTGTGGAAGCTAGATTGCCAAATAAGAAAGCATGAAATGGTAGAAACATGCACTGAAGTTTGAAGAGATACTCAGTGCACAAAGTAGACTGTGAAAGCCTTTGGGGAAATCATGCAATCCCCGAGAGACTAATTGATGACAATCCCCAAATTTATGTTTGCCAGAAAAGAGAGACGGTCATGACACTGCATAGTGAGCGGTTTCGGACGTGCGACGGCAGTTTAAGAAAACACGAAACAAAAAACTTGAGAACTCAGAAGGTATCCCAGCTATAACCGTTTGTTTATTAAAGAATTGATGAAAATAAAAACAACGTATCTCACAGCATGTGTGATAATATTTCCATACGTATGTGATAATGGATCAACGTTTCCTAGAGGTGAAATAAAAAGTTCTAATTTGGACAAAAGCAAACAAGGAAAATTATACCGTAGAAAAGCCCGGCTGACGGAAGTGAGGCCCTGTCTCAGGGAGAAACATCGGAGACGTTTAAAAGCAGGGAGTGAAACAGAGGATAGCGTGCCATTTTTAATACTGGCCCTTGTTTCAGTGGGAAAAGGCCAAAATAAGCCGTGCATATCCTGGATTCTCGCATCGATCGTTCAGGATCGGAGATGTTGCCTCCATTTCCAGTTACGCATTGTATGGTGGAATTGCAGTTAGCACATTTGGTGCCAAAATTGTAATGCTGCCGAAAGTGGACATGTTCCCTGAAGTAAGAGGGACAGAATTTGGGTGTGTCTTCCGGCTGTCTGGCTTAGCAGGAATGAAGATCCTGGCTCTAGGGATTTTCCCAACATGTCTTAGACGGTAAGGAACAGGGCGGAATTGAGGCCCGGCGCCAAGGCCTCTAGGTGTAAAGAAACAGCCCTGGCTTCAGGGCCCATGAAATTAGGATGATTTTAAGGAGGATGATGGGATGAGAGGACTGTGACCTTTGGCCCCGTTTCTTTCCCTTGTCTTTTCATGGGCCAGGTGTGCTCCATCAGAAGGCTTCCTGTGCCGGATGTAAAGTGTCCTGGGGGAAGAAAAGAGCACTGCTTAGAAAGATGCTCCACAGGGAGAAAGGAGCCACCATTTTCAGGAGAATGATCCCCAGAAGCATGAGCAATGCAGATGCCGAGGCTTCACACAAGACCCTGGAGGGTCTTATTCCTGCAGCCGGGACCTGGGCATCGGTGTGCTTGAATGCTCATAACCGATTTTGAGGGGAGCCCAATCGATAAGCTGTCTGCCAGTCATGCTCATCACACTGTAGTTTTCACACACGTCACACGGAGACCCTGTTCGTATGCACATTTGGGTGCTTGAGCAGGGTTGCGCCCAAGATTCTGTGGTTCTACGGAGCCCTGAGTTGTGCCCTGGGCAGCTTTCCTCTGGGGTTGGTCAACTTTGATCACTGTACCTGACGAGAAAGGGACCATGAAGTCTAATCAGCAAATAGAGAAAAGGAAGGGGCCATTTCCCACAATCATTTCCACGGAAACACCACGTCGGATCAATAAGTCTCACTGCGGGACAGGGACTGTGCTTCAGAGATGCAGCTTTCGCAGCTGGACAAATGACCCAGAAATTCCCCAAATGCCATTTTTAAACACACCCAGTGAGATTGATTTCAGGGCTTTCTGAATTTATTTCAGTTGAATACACACACTCCTGTGTTTGCTTTCCTTTATTATCAATACAGCTTACTTCCAGATGACTTACATGCCCGTGGGAAAATTTTCCGTTTGGACTCATGGGAAGCGGGCACCGTGAAACAGGCAAGTCGGTCTGTCCTCTTCCGGCGTTATGTGGGTTCCAGCAAGAGCACAAGTCCCAGGGCGCCTGAGGTCCATTCAGGAACCAGTGTAAAAACGGCGAGCCCGGGGAAGAAAAAAGAGCACCGTTCTTCTCTTCCAAATGCATTCCAGTTTCCACTATTCAAGGTGGCGAGAATGATCCACGGATGTCCCACATGAGCCACCTTTCACCTTCTCATGCCGACCAACAACTGACGAATGAAACACACCCCAAGAGAAAATACGAAACCGAGTCCCCTGCAATTACCTCACACGCAAACCTACACGTCGGTAGGTCATATTCAGAAATACACACTGAATGTCACCTATCATGAACACAAACACTCAGACAGTCCCACCAGAGGTTCGGAAGACTCACGACCCCAAAACTTGATGTTTCCCATATGCGGGCTCATCCTGAGATGTAGCCATCACTATCCAGTTGTCCCTGTTGTAGAGACAGAAACTTGGGCTCCTCATTAGTTTATGTAGGATTGACGGTGTTCGTGTTTGTGTGGGTGTGTGTGTGTTTGCGTGCGCGCTTCTGGGTGTAGTTATGTGTGTGTCTGTGTGTGTGCGTGTGTGTGTGCACCCCTACGTGTGGGTCGGTACTTCCACTGAGATCACTGGCACACAAGCAGAGCCCTCTTGCTGTGTTTGTTCTTCCCTTTGGATCTCCTGGCCCTCCCTCGCAGGGAAGCGAGTGTGCCAGTGTTCATGGACTCCTGATGTGTCGGGGTCGTCGAAGAGAGGTTTAGCAGGGAGCTTTGCTGTTCAGGATGATGGTTCTTCATCCCACACTTGTATTTTGATTGATGAATCACAAGTACGTCGGGAGGCAGGGTACCTTCGACTTTTCTGACGTTGAACTCAGGCTTCGTTTTGTTTTGCTCTTGAAGGAATTTCCAGTGGTCTAAGGTGCTTTCCTGAGTGGCTCTTTCCACCAAGTGCTCGTCCAACTCGGGGGCCTGGAGGCAGGGGTGGTCTCTCTTGAGCTCTCCTTGCGTTGCTCGCCTGTCTGTGTCTTCTGCGCCAAGGGCTCTTGGTTCTCTGCCTCTTGACACACTCTCACTGTGTCTTTCCCATTCACTCTTCTGGATGTAAAAGAGGACGTAGGCCTGTTGACTCAGGACAGAAGTGATGCTAGAGGCGGTGACCTCGGCATCATCCATTTTATACCACTGGCCTTCTTGAGCTTTGACATAAGAGAAGTAATGTCCGTTGTGACAACTCCACCCAGCGTGGACCAGCACAGCATAGAGGACATAGACGAGAGGTCCTGTGTTCGGCTGAGACATGTATGGCTGCATGTCAAGGCACTCAGGATATTGCACATTCTTGGCAATCTTGTTGCCTGTGACATCGGAGAATCTCTTCAATACAAGGATGAGGACCTTGGCAGAGGTGTGTAAAGTTAACGTCTTGGAGGCCGGCGCCCTCTGGAGACAAACACCACAATGATAGGCATTCTCTCCATTGAGTTCTTCGGGCTTCACCAACTGTTCCAAAGCTTGCTGGACACTCTGAGCTGCCTGGATATCCAGGGCGATGTCCAGGTAAGGGTCAAAAGTGTCTGAAATGCCGTGGCAGTGGAGACACTTGATTTGAGATCTCCAGTAGCCTCCAAATATTTGGTGGATGAGGGTGGTGTCCTTAGAGTGATGATCCACCTGCTTGTGCCCGGGAAGGCATGCCTTTTTCATGGCATCCACAGTGAACATGAGAAATTCATGGGCATCTTCCTGCTTGCCTCTATGGAAGCCAGCAGCCAATGCCTGTGAGGGCTGGATGACGTGGCCAGGATTGTGGAGGGCCCGTGTGATGTGAGCTTGCATCGTACAGAGCATGCAGCCCTTGTGACGATGACACGTTTGAGAGTGCTCCCGGGACAGCATGTAGTTGGCAAGGGGCGGTGTGTATGTCAGGCACTGCAAGGAAGCGTTCACGTAGCAGGTATTTCCCATATTCTGGAGCCCAGCCCCCACCGCAGCAGGTCTCCTGCTACTCAGAGGAAGCTTCTCCCTGGGAGCAAGCTGTCTTGCCACAGGAGCCAAATCATCACAGAGGTCGACACGGGTCTCACATGAGAGTGGTGACTTCTCAGGGAGAGAAGTCCGCTGGATTTCAGCAAAAGCTGCATCGGGCCGAGAAGATGTGAGTTTTGAAAAGTGGTTGAACTGCCACTCACCTCCCAAGTAGAGTGAGTCGTCCTCCATGTCGACTGGAACGAGGATCACAAGGTTTTTCTGCTGGGACCGCAGGTTGCAGAAAGACGCTATCCCTTCCGAGAGAGTCTTCAAATGACGAGCTCTCTGGCCGCATCAGCCCTTCTATAAGTCACCCCCACCAACCGCGAACACCCCACCCACTCATCAGGTGCGCGATAAGCCAATCAAATAACAGCACTCAATTCAGGAAGGAGTCACAGGGTGTGTCCCCTGGCATCGCTGGGAATTCAACAGACACAGCCCACAGCATGACTTCCAGAACACCTGAATCAAATTACTCCTCAGGATGATAGGCACATATAATAGGAGTGTAACCGGGTTGGGACAGTGGCCTCACAGTTGCCTTATTTTAGGTAAAGCAATGGCAGGGAAGAAATCTTTACCTAGGAAACCGTGTGCGTGTGTGTGTGTGAGTGTGTTTGTGTGTGTGTGGGGGGGGGCGTGTGTGTGTGTGTGTTTGTGCTGGGATGAACCTCCAAGTAGGTACTTTTGGCAGCTGCCATCATCCTCTCAGCGACGGAAGGACAAGAAGTCGAAAGTGCGCTTTCTGACCTGAGAATAGTCAATGAAGTATAGTATTTAGCACAGCGTATTTTCTTCCCTAGTGAGAAAGGAGAGATCCGTGGAATCAAACAGACCTTCCAGCGATAACCTTTCCACGTTGAGCCTATTGATTCTCTGTCCGAGTGAAATTACCTGCCAGGGGAGAACAAGACAAGTCTTTGCATGAAATGCTCTTGTGGAAGCTAGATTGCCAAATAAGAAAGAATCAAATGGTAGAAACATGCACTGAAGTTTGAAGAGATACTCAGTGCACAAAGTAGACTGTGAAAGCCTTTGGGGAAATCATGCAATCCCCGAGAGACTAATTGATGACAATCCCCAAATTTATGTTTGCCAGAAAAGAGAGACGGTCATGACACTGCATAGTGAGCGGTTTCGGACGTGCGACGGCAGTTTAAGAAAACACGAAACAAAAAACTTGAGAACTCAGAAGGTATCCCAGCTATACCCTTTTGTTTATTAAAGAATTGATGAAAATAAAAACAACGTATCTCACAGCATGTGTGATAATATTTCCATACGTATGTGATAATGGATCAAC
Organism: Homo sapiens; assembly: GCF_000001405.40. Taxonomy (NCBI): domain Eukaryota; kingdom Metazoa; phylum Chordata; class Mammalia; order Primates; family Hominidae; genus Homo; species Homo sapiens. Next base: position 9,257,006 of record NC_000004.12, on the reverse strand, counting down.
GTTTCCTAGAGATGAAATAAAAAGTTCTAATTTGGACAAAAGCAAACAAGGAAAATTATACCGTAGAAAAGCCCGGCTGACGGAAGTGAGGCCCTGTCTCAGGGAGAAACATCGGAGACGTTTAAAAGCAGGGAGTGAAACAGAGGATAGCGTGCCATTTTTAATACTGGCCCTTGTTTCAGTGGGAAAAGGCCAAAATAAGCCGTGCATATCCTGGATTCTCGCATCGATCGTTCAGGATCGGAGATGTTGCCTCCATTTCCAGTTACGCATTGTATGGTGGAATTGCAGTTAGCACATTTGGTGCCAAAATTGTAATGCTGCCGAAAGTGGACATGTTCCCTGAAGTAAGAGGGACAGAATTTGGGTGTGTCTTCCGGCTGTCTGGCTTAGCAGGAATGAAGATCCTGGCTCTAGGGATTTTCCCAACATGTCTTAGACGGTAAGGAACAGGGCGGAATTGAGGCCCGGCGCCAAGGCCTCTAGGTGTAAAGAAACAGCCCTGGCTTCAGGGCCCATGAAATTAGGATGATTTTAAGGAGGATGATGGGATGAGAGGACTGTGACCTTTGGCCCCGTTTCTTTCCCTTGTCTTTTCATGGGCCAGGTGTGCTCCATCAGAAGGCTTCCTGTGCCGGATGTAAAGTGTCCTGGGGGAAGAAAAGAGCACTGCTTAGAAAGATGCTCCACAGGGAGAAAGGAGCCACCATTTTCAGGAGAATGATCCCCAGAAGCATGAGCAATGCAGATGCCGAGGCTTCACACAAGACCCTGGAGGGTCTTATTCCTGCAGCCGGGACCTGGGCATCGGTGTGCTTGAATGCTCATAACCGATTTTGAGGGGAGCCCAATCGATAAGCTGTCTGCCAGTCATGCTCATCACACTGTAGTTTTCACACACGTCACACGGAGACCCTGTTCGTATGCACATTTGGGTGCTTGAGCAGGGTTGCGCCCAAGATTCTGTGGTTCTACGGAGCCCTGAGTTGTGCCCTGGGCAGCTTTCCTCTGGGGTTGGTCAACTTTGATCACTGTACCTGACGAGAAAGGGACCATGAAGTCTAATCAGCAAATAGAGAAAAGGAAGGGGCCATTTCCCACAATCATTTCCACGGAAACACCACGTCGGATCAATAAGTCTCACTGCGGGACAGGGACTGTGCTTCAGAGATGCAGCTTTCGCAGCTGGACAAATGACCCAGAAATTCCCCAAATGCCATTTTTAAACACACCCAGTGAGATTGATTTCAGGGCTTTCTGAATTTATTTCAGTTGAATACACACACTCCTGTGTTTGCTTTCCTTTATTATCAATACAGCTTACTTCCAGATGACTTACATGCCCGTGGGAAAATTTTCCGTTTCGACTCATGGGAAGCGGGCACCGTGAAACAGGCAAGTCGGTCTGTCCGCTTCCGGCGTTATGTGGGTTCCAGCAAGAGCACAAGTCCCAGGGCGCCTGAGGTCCATTCAGGAACCAGTGTAAAAACGGCGAGCCCGGGGAAGAAAGAAGAGCACCGTTCTTCTCTTCCAAATGCATTCCAGTTTCCACTATTCAAGGTGGCGAGAATGATCCACGGATGTCCCACATGAGCCACCTTTCACCTTCTCATGCCGACCAACAACTGACGAATGAAACACACCCCAAGAGAAAATACGAAACCGAGTCCCCTGCAATTACCTCACACGCAAACCTACGCGTCGGTAGGTCATATTCAGAAATACACACTGAATGTCACCTATCATGAACACAAACACTCAGACAGTCCCTCCAGAGGTTCGGAAGACTCACGACCCCAAAACTTGATGTTTCCCATATGCGGGCTCATCCTGAGATGTAGCCATCACTATCCAGTTGTCCCTGTTGTAGAGACAGAAAGTTGGGCTCCTCATTAGTTTATGTAGGATTGACGGTGTTCGTGTTTGTGTGGGTGTGTGTGTGTTTGCGTGCGCGCTTCTGGGTGTAGTTATGTGTGTGTCTGTGTGTGTGCGTGTGTGTGTGCACCCCTACGTGTGGGTCGGTACTTCCACTGAGATCACTGGCACACAAGCAGAGCCCTCTTGCTGTGTTTGTTCTTCCCTTTGGATCTCCTGGCCCTCCCTCGCAGGGAAGCGAGTGTGCCAGTGTTCATGGACTCCTGATGTGTCGGGGTCGTCGAAGAGAGTTTTAGCAGGGAGCTTTGCTGTTCAGGATGATGGTTCTTCATCCCACACTTGTATTTTGATTGATGAATCACAAGTACGTCGGGAGGCAGGGTACCTTCGACTTTTCTGACGTTGAACTCAGGCTTCGTTTTGTTTTGCTCTTGAAGGAATTTCCAGTGGTCTAAGGTGCTTTCCTGAGTGGCTCTTTCCACCAAGTGCTCGTCCAACTCGGGGGCCTGGAGGCAGGGGTGGTCTCTCTTGAGCTCTCCTTGCGTTGCTCGCCTGTCTGTGTCTTCTGCGCCAAGGGCTCTTGGTTCTCTGCCTCTTGACACACTCTCACTGTGTCTTTCCCATTCACTCTTCTGGATGTAAAAGAGGACGTAGGCCTGTTGACTCAGGACAGAAGTGATGCTAGAGGCGGTGACCTCGGCATCATCCATTTTATACCACTGGCCTTCTTGAGCTTTGACATAAGAGAAGTAATGTCCGTTGTGACAACTCCACCCAGCGTGGACCAGCACAGCATAGAGGACATAGACGAGAGGTCCTGTGTTCGTCTGAGACATGTATGGCTGCATGTCAAGGCACTCAGGATATTGCACATTCTTGGCAATCTTGTTGCCTGTGACATCGGAGAATCTCTTCAATACAAGGATGAGGACCTTGGCAGAGGTGTGTAAAGTTAACGTCTTGGAGGCCGGCGCCCTCTGGAGACAAACACCACAATGATAGGCATTCTCTCCATTGAGTTCTTCGGGCTTCACCAACTGTTCCAAAGCTTGCTGGACACTCTGAGCTGCCTGGATATCCAGGGCGATGTCCAGGTAAGGGTCAAAAGTGTCTGAAATGCCGTGGCAGTGGAGACACTTGATTTGAGATCTCCAGTAGCCTCCAAATATTTGGTGGATGAGGGTGGTGTCCTTAGAGTGATGATCCACCTGCTTGTGCCCGGGAAGGCATGCCTTTTTCATGGCATCCACAGTGAACATGAGAAATTCATGGGCATCTTCCTGCTTGCCTCTATGGAAGCCAGCAGCCAATGCCTGTGAGGGCTGGATGACGTGGCCAGGATTGTGGAGGGCCCGTGTGATGTGAGCTTGCATCGTACAGAGCATACAGCCCTTGTGACGATGACACGTTTGAGAGTGCTCCCGGGACAGCATGTAGTTGGCAAGGGGCGGTGTGTATGTCAGGCACTGCAAGGAAGCGTTCACGTAGCAGGTATTTCCCATATTCTGGAGCCCAGCCCCCACCGCAGCAGGTCTCCTGCTACTCAGAGGAAGCTTCTCCCTGGGAGCAAGCTGTCTTGCCACAGGAGCCAAATCATCACAGAGGTCGACACGGGTCTCACATGAGAGTGGTGACTTCTCAGGGAGAGAAGTCCGCTGGATTTCAGCAAAAGCTGCATCGGGCCGAGAAGATGTGAGTTTTGAAAAGTGGTTGAACTGCCACTCACCTCCCAAGTAGAGTGAGTCTTCCTCCATGTCGACTGGAACAAGGATCACAAGGTTTTTCTGCTGGGACCGCAGGTTGCAGAAAGACGCTATCCCTTCCGAGAGAGTCTTCAAATGACGAGCTCTCTGGCGCATCAGCCCTTCTGTAAGTCAACCCCACCAACCGCGAACACCCCACCCACTCATCAGGTGCGCGATAAGCCAATCAAATATCAGCACTCAATTCAGGAAGGAGTCACAGGGTGTGTCCCCTTGCATCGCTGGGAATTCAACAGACACAGCCCACAGCATGACTTCCAGAACACCTGAATCAAATTACTCCTCAGGATGATAGGCACATATAATAGGAGTGTAACCGGGTTGGGACAGTGGCCACACAGTTGCCTTATTTTAGGTAAAGCAATGGCAGGGAAGAAATCTTTACGTAGGAAACCGTGTGAGTGTGTGTGTGTGATTGTGTTCGTGTGTGTGTGTGTGGGGGGGGGCGCGTGTGTGTGTGTGTTTGTGCTGGGATGAACTTCCAAGTATGTACTTTTGGCAACTGCCATCATCCTCTCAGCGACGGAAAGACAAGAAGTCGAAAGTGCGCTTTCTGACCTGAGAATAGTCAATGAAGTATAGTATTTAGCACAGCGTATTTTCTTCCCTAGTGAGAAAGGAGAGATCCGTGGAATCAAACAGACCTTCCAGCGATAACCTTTCCACGTTGAGCCTATTGATTCTCTATCTGAGTGAAATTACCTGCCAGTGGAGAACAAGACAAGTCTTTGCATGAAATGCTCTTGTGGAAGCTAGATTGCCAAATAAGAAAGCATGAAATGGTAGAAACATGCACTGAAGTTTGAAGAGATACTCAGTGCACAAAGTAGACTGTGAAAGCCTTTGGGGAAATCATGCAATCCCCGAGAGACTAATTGATGACAATCCCCAAATTTATGTTTGCCAGAAAAGAGAGACGGTCATGACACTGCATAGTGAGCGGTTTCGGACGTGCGACGGCAGTTTAAGAAAACACGAAACAAAAAACTTGAGAACTCAGAAGGTATCCCAGCTATAACCGTTTGTTTATTAAAGAATTGATGAAAATAAAAACAACGTATCTCACAGCATGTGTGATAATATTTCCATACGTATGTGATAATGGATCAACGTTTCCTAGAGGTGAAATAAAAAGTTCTAATTTGGACAAAAGCAAACAAGGAAAATTATACCGTGGAAAAGCCCGGCTGACGGAAGTGAGGCCCTGTCTCAGGGAGAAACATCGGAGACGTTTAAAAGCAGGGAGTGAAACAGAGGATAGCGTGCCATTTTTAATACTGGCCCTTGTTTCAGTGGGAAAAGGCCAAAATAAGCCGTGCATATCCTGGATTCTCGCATCGATCGTTCAGGATCGGAGATGTTGCCTCCATTTCCAGTTACGCATTGTATGGTGGAATTGCAGTTAGCACATTTGGTGCCAAAATTGTAATGCTGCCGAAAGTGGACATGTTCCCTGAAGTAAGAGGGACAGAATTTGGGTGTGTCTTCCGGCTGTCTGGCTTAGCAGGAATGAAGATCCTGGCTCTAGGGATTTTCCCAACATGTCTTAGACGGTAAGGAACAGGGCGGAATTGAGGCCCGGCGCCAAGGCCTCTAGGTGTAAAGAAACAGCCCTGGCTTCAGGGCCCATGAAATTAGGATGATTTTAAGGAGGATGATGGGATGAGAGGACTGTGACCTTTGGCCCCGTTTCTTTCCCTTGTCTTTTCATGGGCCAGGTGTGCTCCATCAGAAGGCTTCCTGTGCCGGATGTAAAGTGTCCTGGGGGAAGAAAAGAGCACTGCTTAGAAAGATGCTCCACAGGGAGAAAGGAGCCACCATTTTCAGGAGAATGATCCCCAGAAGCATGAGCAATGCAGATGCCGAGGCTTCACACAAGACCCTGGAGGGTCTTATTCCTGCAGCCGGGACCTGGGCATCGGTGTGCTTGAATGCTCATAACCGATTTTGAGGGGAGCCCAATCGATAAGCTGTCTGCCAGTCATGCTCATCACACTGTAGTTTTCACACACGTCACACGGAGACCCTGTTCGTATGCACATTTGGGTGCTTGAGCAGGGTTGCGCCCAAGATTCTGTGGTTCTACGGAGCCCTGAGTTGTGCCCTGGGCAGCTTTCCTCTGGGTTGGTCAACTTTGATCACTATACCTGACGAGAAAGGGACCATGAAGTCTAATCAGCAAATAGAGAAAAGGAAGGGGCCATTTCCCACAATCATTTCCACGGAAACACCACGTCGGATAAATAAGTCTCACTGCGGGACAGGGACTGTGCTTCAGAGATGCAGCTTTCGCAGCTGGACAAATGACCCAGAAATTCCCCAAATGCCATTTTTAAACACACCCAGTGAGATTGATTGCAGGGCTTTCTGAATTTATTTCAGTTGAATACACACACTCCTGTGTTTGCTTTCCTTTATTATCAATACAGCTTACTTCCAGATGACTTACATGCCCGTGGGAAAATTTTCCGTTTGGACTCATGGGAAGCGGGCATCGTGAAACAGGCAAGTCGGTCTGTCCGCTTCCGGCGTTATGTGGGTTCCAGCAAGAGCACAAGTCCCAGGGCGCCTGAGGTCCATTCAGGAACCAGTGTAAAAACGGCGAGCCCGGGGAAGAAAGAAGAGCACCGTTCTTCTCTTCCAAATGCATTCCAGTTTCCACTATTCAAGGTGGCGAGAATGATCCACGGATGTCCCACATGAGCCACCTTTCACCTTCTCATGCCGACCAACAACTGACGAATGAAACACACCCCAAGAGAAAATACGAAACCGAGTCCCCTGCAATTACCTCACACGCAAACCTACACGTCGGTAGGTCATATTCAGAAATACACACTGAATGTCACCTATCATGAACACAAACACTCAGACAGTCCCACCAGAGGTTCGGAAGACTCACGACCCCAAAACTTGATGTTTCCCATATGCGGGCTCATCCTGAGATGTAGCCATCACTATCCAGTTGTCCCTGTTGTAGAGACAGAAACTTGGGCTCCTCATTAGTTTATGTAGGATTGACGGTGTTCGTGTTTGTGTGGGTGTGTGTGTGTTTGCGTGCGCGCTTCTGGGTGTAGTTATGTGTGTGTCTGTGTGTGTGCGTGTGTGTGTGCACCCCTACGTGTGGGTCGGTACTTCCACTGAGATCACTGGCACACAAGCAGAGCCCTCTTGCTGTGTTTGTTCTTCCCTTTGGATCTCCTGGCCCTCCCTCGCAGGGAAGCGAGTGTGCCAGTGTTCATGGACTCCTGATGTGTCGGGGTCGTCGAAGAGAGGTTTAGCAGGGAGCTTTGCTGTTCAGGATGATGGTTCTTCATCCCACACTTGTATTTTGATTGATGAATCACAAGTACGTCGGGAGGCAGGGTACCTTCGACTTTTCTGACGTTGAACTCAGGCTTCGTTTTGTTTTGCTCTTGAAGGAATTTCCAGTGGTCTAAGGTGCTTTCCTGAGTGGCTCTTTCCACCAAGTGCTCGTCCAACTCGGGGGCCTGGAGGCAGGGGTGGTCTCTCTTGAGCTCTCCTTGCTTTGCTCGCCTGTCTGTGTCTTCTGCGCCAAGGGCTCTTGGTTCCCTGCCTCTTGACACACTCTCACTGTGTCTTTCCCATTCACTCTTCTGGATGTAAAAGAGGACGTAGGCCTGTTGACTCAGGACAGAAGTGATGCTAGAGGCGGTGACCTCGGCATCATCCATTTTATACCACTGGCCTTCTTGAGCTTTGACATAAGAGAAGTAATGTCCGTTGTGACAACTCCACCCAGCGTGGACCAGCACAGCATAGAGGACATAGACGAGAGGTCCTGTGTTCGTCTGAGACATGTATGGCTGCATGTCAAGGCACTCAGGATATTGCACATTCTTGGCAATCTTGTTGCCTGTGACATCGGAGAATCTCTTCAATACAAGGATGAGGACCTTGGCAGAGGTGTGTAAAGTTAACGTCTTGGAGGCCGGCGCCCTCTGGAGACAAACACCACAATGATAGGCATTCTCTCCATTGAGTTCTTCGGGCTTCACCAACTGTTCCAAAGCTTGCTGGACACTCTGAGCTGCCTGGATATCCAGGGCGATGTCCAGGTAAGGGTCAAAAGTGTCTGAAATGCCGTGGCAGTGGAGACACTTGATTTGAGATCTCCAGTAGCCTCCAAATATTTGGTGGATGAGGGTGGTGTCCTTAGAGTGATGATCCACCTGCTTGTGCCCGGGAAGGCATGCCTTTTTCATGGCATCCACAGTGAACATGAGAAATTCATGGGCATCTTCCTGCTTGCCTCTATGGAAGCCAGCAGCCAATGCCTGTGAGGGCTGGATGACGTGGCCAGGATTGTGGAGGGCCCGTGTGATGTGAGCTTGCATCGTACAGAGCATACAGCCCTTGTGACGATGACACGTTTGAGAGTGCTCCCGGGACAGCATGTAGTTGGCAAGGGGCGGTGTGTATGTCAGGCACTGCAAGGAAGCGTTCACGTAGCAGGTATTTCCCATATTCTGGAGCCCAGCCCCCACCGCAGCAGGTCTCCTGCTACTCAGAGGAAGCTTCTCCCTGGGAGCAAGCTGTCTTGCCACAGGAGCCAAATCATCACAGAGGTCGACACGGGTCTCACATGAGAGTGGTGACTTCTCAGGGAGAGAAGTCCGCTGGATTTCAGCAAAAGCTGCATCGGGCCGAGAAGATGTGAGTTTTGAAAAGTGGTTGAACTGCCACTCACCTCCCAAGTAGAGTGAGTCGTCCTCCATGTCGACTGGAACAAGGATCACAAGGTTTTTCTGCTGGGACCGCAGGTTGCAGAAAGACGCTATCCCTTCCGAGAGAGTCTTCAAATGACGAGCTCTCTGGCCGCATCAGCCCTTCTGTAAGTCACCCCCTCCAACCGCGAACACCACACCCACTCATCAGGTGCGCGATAAGCCAATCAAATATCAGCACTCAATTCAGGAAGGAGTCACAGGGTGTGTCCCCTTGCATCGCTGGGAATTCAACAGACACAGCCCACAGCATGACTTCCAGAACACCTGAATCAAATTACTCCTCAGGATGATAGGCACATATAATAGGAGTGTAACCGGGTTGGGACAGTGGCCACACAGTTGCCTTATTTTAGGTAAAGCAATGGCAGGGAAGAAATCTTTACGTAGGAAACCGTGTGAGTGTGTGTGTGTGTGATTGTGTTCGTGTGTGTGTGTGTGGGGGGGGCGCGTGTGTGTGTGTGTTTTTTCTGCGATGAACTTCCAAGTATGTACTTTTGGCAGCTGCCATCATCCTCTCAGCGACGGAAAGACAAGAAGTCGAAAGTGCGCTTTCTGACCTGAGAATAGTCAATGAAGTATAGTATTTAGCACAGCGTATTTTCTTCCCTAATGAGAAAGGAGAGATCCGTGGAATCAAACAGACCTTCCAGCGATAACCTTTCCACGTTGAGCCTATTGATTCTCTATCTGAGTGAAATTACCTGCCAGTGGAGAACAAGACAAGTCTTTGCATGAAATGCTCTTGTGGAAGCTAGATTGCCAAATAAGAAAGCATGAAATGGTAGAAACATGCACTGAAGTTTGAAGAGATACTCAGTGCACAAAGTAGACTGTGAAAGCCTTTGGGGAAATCATGCAATCCCCGAGAGACTAATTGATGACAATCCCCAAATTTATGTTTGCCAGAAAAGAGAGACGGTCATGACACTGCATAGTGAGCGGTTTCGGACGTGCGACGGCAGTTTAAGAAAACACGAAACAAAAAACTTGAGAACTCAGAAGGTATCCCAGCTATACCCTTTTGTTTATTAAAGAATTGATGAAAATAAAAACAACGTATCTCACAGCATGTGTGATAATATTTCCATACGTATGTGATAATGGATCAACGTTTCCTAGAGATGAAATAAAAAGTTCTAATTTGGACAAAAGCAAACAAGGAAAATTATACCGTAGAAAAGCCCGGCTGACGGAAGTGAGGCCCTGTCTCAGGGAGAAACATCGGAGACGTTTAAAAGCAGGGAGTGAAACAGAGGATAGCGTGCCATTTTTAATACTGGCCCTTGTTTCAGTGGGAAAAGGCCAAAATAAGCCGTGCATATCCTGGATTCTCGCATCGATCGTTCAGGATCGGAGATGTTGCCTCCATTTCCAGTTACGCATTGTATGGTGGAATTGCAGTTAGCACATTTGGTGCCAAGATTGTAATGCTGCCGAAAGTGGACATGTTCCCTGAAGTAAGAGGGACAGAATTTGGGTGTGTCTTCCGGCTGTCTGGCTTAGCAGGAATGAAGATCCTGGCTCTAGGGATTTTCCCAACATGTCTTAGACGGTAAGGAACAGGGCGGAATTGAGGCCCGGCGCCAAGGCCTCTAGGTGTAAAGAAACAGCCCTGGCTTCAGGGCCCATGAAATTAGGATGATTTTAAGGAGGATGATGGGATGAGAGGACTGTGACCTTTGGCCCCGTTTCTTTCCCTTGTCTTTTCATGGGCCAGGTGTGCTCCATCAGAAGGCTTCCTGTGCCGGATGTAAAGTGTCCTGGGGGAAGAAAAGAGCACTGCTTAGAAAGATGCTCCACAGGGAGAAAGGAGCCACCATTTTCAGGAGAATGATCCCCAGAAGCATGAGCAATGCAGATGCCGAGGCTTCACACAAGACCCTGGAGGGTCTTATTCCTGCAGCCGGGACCTGGGCATCGGTGTGCTTGAATGCTCATAACCGATTTTGAGGGGAGCCCAATCGATAAGCTGTCTGCCAGTCATGCTCATCACACTGTAGTTTTCACACACGTCACACGGAGACCCTGTTCGTATGCACATTTGGGTGCTTGAGCAGGGTTGCGCCCAAGATTCTGTGGTTCTACGGAGCTCTGAGTTGTGCCCTGGGCAGCTTTCCTCTGGGGTTGGTCAACTTTGATCACTATACCTGACGAGAAAGGGACCATGAAGTCTAATCAGCAAATAGAGAAAAGGAAGGGGCCATTTCCCACAATCATTTCCACGGAAACACCACGTCGGATCAATAAGTCTCACTGCGGGACAGGGACTGTGCTTCAGAGATGCAGCTTTCGCAGCTGGACAAATGACCCAGAAATTCCCCAAATGCCATTTTTAAACACACCCAGTGAGATTGATTTCAGGGCTTTCTGAATTTATTTCAGTTGAATACACACACTCCTGTGTTTGCTTTCCTTTATTATCAATACAGCTTACTTCCAGATGACTTACATGCCCGTGGGAAAATTTTCCGTTTGGACTCATGGGAAGCGGGCACCGTGAAACAGGCAAGTCGGTCTGTCCGCTTCCGGCGTTATGTGGGTTCCAGCAAGAGCACAAGTCCCAGGGCGCCTGAGGTCCATTCAGGAACCAGTGTAAAAACGGCGAGCCCGGGGAAGAAAGAAGAGCACCGTTCTTCTCTTCCAAATGCATTCCAGTTTCCACTATTCAAGGTGGCGAGAATGATCCACGGATGTCCCACATGAGCCACCTTTCACCTTCTCATGCCGACCAACAACTGACGAATGAAACACACCCCAAGAGAAAATACGAAACCGAGTCCCCTGCAATTACCTCACACGCAAACCTACACGTCGGTAGGTCATATTCAGAAATACACACTGAATGTCACCTATCATGAACACAAACACTCAGACAGTCCCTCCAGAGGTTCGGAAGACTCACGACCCCAAAACTTGATGTTTCCCATATGCGGGCTCATCCTGAGATGTAGCCATCACTATCCAGTTGTCCCTGTTGTAGAGACAGAAACTTGGGCTCCTCATTAGTTTATGTAGGATTGACGGTGTTCGTGTTTGTGTGGGTGTGTGTGTGTTTGCGTGCGCGCTTCTGGGTGTAGTTATGTGTGTGTCTGTGTGTGTGCGTGTGTGTGTGCACCCCTACGTGTGGGTCGGTACTTCCACTGAGATCACTGGCACACAAGCAGAGCCCTCTTGCTGTGTTTGTTCTTCCCTTTGGATCTCCTGGCCCTCCCTCGCAGGGAAGCGAGTGTGCCAGTGTTCATGGACTCCTGATGTGTCGGGGTCGACGAAGAGAGGTTTAGCAGGGAGCTTTGCTGTTCAGGATGATGGTTCTTCATCCCACACTTGTATTTTGATTGATGAATCACAAGTACGTCGGGAGGCAGGGTACCTTCGACTTTTCTGACGTTGAACTCAGGCTTCGTTTTGTTTTGCTCTTGAAGGAATTTCCAGTGGTCTAAGGTGCTTTCCTGAGTGGCTCTTTCCACCAAGTGCTCGTCCAACTCGGGGGCCTGGAGGCAGGGGTGGTCTCTCTTGAGCTCTCCTTGCGTTGCTCGCCTGTCTGTGTCTTCTGCGCCAAGGGCTCTTGGTTCCCTGCCTCTTGACACACTCTCACTGTGTCTTTCCCATTCACTCTTCTGGATGTAAAAGAGGACGTAGGCCTGTTGACTCAGGACAGAAGTGATGCTAGCGGCGGTGACCTCGGCATCATCCATTTTATACCATTGGCCTTCTTGAGCTTTGACATAAGAGAAGTAATGTCCGTTGTGACAACTCCACCCAGCGTGGACCAGCACAGCATAGAGGACATAGACAAGAGGTCCTGTGTTCTGCTGAGACATGTATGGCTGCATGTCAAGGCACTCAGGATATTGCACATTCTTGGCAATCTTGTTGCCTGTCACATCGGAGAATCTCTTCAATACAAGGATGAGGACCTTGGCAGAGGTGTGTAAAGTTAACGTCTTGGAGGCCGGCGCCCTCTGGAGACAAACACCACAATGATAGGCATTCTCTCCATTGAGTTCTTCGGGCTTCACCAACTGTTCCAAAGCTTGCTGGACACTCTGAGCTGCCTGGATATCCAGGGCGATGTCCAGGTAAGGGTCAAAAGTGTCTGAAATGCCGTGGCAGTGGAGACACTTGATTTGAGATCTCCAGTAGCCTCCAAATATTTGGTGGATGAGGGTGGTGTCCTTAGAGTGATGATCTACCTGCTTGTGCCCGGGAAGGCATGCCTTTTTCATGGCATCCACAGTGAACATGAGAAATTCATGGGCATCTTCCTGCTTGCCTCTATGGAAGCCAGCAGCCAATGCCTGTGAGGGCTGGATGACGTGGCCAGGATTGTGGAGGGCCCGTGTGATGTGAGCTTGCATCGTACAGAGCATGCAGCCCTTGTGACGATGACACGTTTGAGAGTGCTCCCGGGACAGCATGTAGTTGGCAAGGGGCGGTGTGTATGTCAGGCACTGCAAGGAAGCGTTCACGTAGCAGGTATTTCCCATATTCTGGAGCCCAGCCCCCACCGCAGCAGGTCTCCTGCTACTCAGAGGAAGCTTCTCCCTGGGAGCAAGCTGTCTTGCCACAGGAGCCAAATCATCACAGAGGTCGACACGGGTCTCACATGAGAGTGGTGACTTCTCAGGGAGAGAAGTCCGCTGGATTTCAGCAAAAGCTGCATCGGGCCGAGAAGATGTGAGTTTTGAAAAGTGGTTGAACTGCCACTCACCTCCCAAGTAGAGTGAGTCGTCCTCCATGTCGACTGGAACAAGGATCACAAGGTTTGTCTGCTGGGACCGCAGGTTGCAGAAAGACGCTATCCCTTCCGAGAGAGTCTTCAAATGACGAGCTCTCTGGCCGCATCAGCCCTTCTGTAAGTCACCCCCACCAACCGCGAACACCCCACCCACTCATCAGGTGCGCGATAAGCCAATCAAATATCAGCACTCAATTCAGGAAGGAGTCACAGGGTGTGTCCCCTTGCATCGCTGGGAATTCAACAGACACAGCCCACAGCATGACTTCCAGAACACCTGAATCAAATTACTCCTCAGGATGATAGGCACATATAATAGGAGTGTAACCGGGTTGGGACAGTGGCCACACAGTTGCCTTATTTTAGGTAAAGCAATGGCAGGGAAGAAATCTTTACGTAGGAAACCGTGTGAGTGTGTGTGTGTGATTGTGTTCGTCTGTGTGTGTGTGGGGGGGGCGCGTGTGTGTGTGTGTTTGTGCTGGGATGAACTTCCAAGTATGTACTTTTGGCAACTGCCATCATCCTCTCAGCGACGGAAAGACAAGAAGTCGAAAGTGCGCTTTCTGACCTGAGAATAGTCAATGAAGTATAGTATTTAGCACAGCGTATTTTCTTCCCTAATGAGAAAGGAGAGATCCGTGGAATCAAACAGACCTTCCAGCGATAACCTTTCCACGTTGAGCCTATTGATTCTCTATCTGAGTGAAATTACCTGCCAGTGGAGAACAAGACAAGTCTTTGCATGAAATGCTCTTGTGGAAGCTAGATTGCCAAATAAGAAAGCATGAAATGGTAGAAACATGCACTGAAGTTTGAAGAGATACTCAGTGCACAAAGTAGACTGTGAAAGCCTTTGGGGAAATCATGCAATCCCCGAGAGACTAATTGATGACAATCCCCAAATTTATGTTTGCCAGAAAAGAGAGACGGTCATGACACTGCATAGTGAGCGGTTTCGGACGTGCGACGGCAGTTTAAGAAAACACGAAACAAAAAACTTGAGAACTCAGAAGGTATCCCAGCTATAACCGTTTGTTTATTAAAGAATTGATGAAAATAAAAACAACGTATCTCACAGCATGTGTGATAATATTTCCATACGTATGTGATAATGGATCAACGTTTCCTAGAGGTGAAATAAAAAGTTCTAATTTGGACAAAAGCAAACAAGGAAAATTATACCGTGGAAAAGCCCGGCTGACGGAAGTGAGGCCCTGTCTCAGGGAGAAACATCGGAGACGTTTAAAAGCAGGGAGTGAAACAGAGGATAGCGTGCCATTTTTAATACTGGCCCTTGTTTCAGTGGGAAAAGGCCAAAATAAGCCGTGCATATCCTGGATTCTCGCATCGATCGTTCAGGATCGGAGATGTTGCCTCCATTTCCAGTTACGCATTGTATGGTGGAATTGCAGTTAGCACATTTGGTGCCAAAATTGTAATGCTGCCGAAAGTGGACATGTTCCCTGAAGTAAGAGGGACAGAATTTGGGTGTGTCTTCCGGCTGTCTGGCTTAGCAGGAATGAAGATCCTGGCTCTAGGGATTTTCCCAACATGTCTTAGACGGTAAGGAACAGGGCGGAATTGAGGCCCGGCGCCAAGGCCTCTAGGTGTAAAGAAACAGCCCTGGCTTCAGGGCCCATGAAATTAGGATGATTTTAAGGAGGATGATGGGATGAGAGGACTGTGACCTTTGGCCCCGTTTCTTTCCCTTGTCTTTTCATGGGCCAGGTGTGCTCCATCAGAAGGCTTCCTGTGCCGGATGTAAAGTGTCCTGGGGGAAGAAAAGAGCACTGCTTAGAAAGATGCTCCACAGGGAGAAAGGAGCCACCATTTTCAGGAGAATGATCCCCAGAAGCATGAGCAATGCAGATGCCGAGGCTTCACACAAGACCCTGGAGGGTCTTATTCCTGCAGCCGGGACCTGGGCATCGGTGTGCTTGAATGCTCATAACCGATTTTGAGGGGAGCCCAATCGATAAGCTGTCTGCCAGTCATGCTCATCACACTGTAGTTTTCACACACGTCACACGGAGACCCTGTTCGTATGCACATTTGGGTGCTTGAGCAGGGTTGCGCCCAAGATTCTGTGGTTCTACGGAGCCCTGAGTTGTGCCCTGGGCAGCTTTCCTCTGGGGCTGGTCAACTTTGATCACTGTACCTGACGAGAAAGGGACCATGAAGTCTAATCAGCAAATAGAGAAAAGGAAGGGGCCATTTCCCACAATCATTTCCACGGAAACACCACGTCGGATCAATAAGTCTCACTGCGGGACAGGGACTGTGCTTCAGAGATGCAGCTTTCGCAGCTGGACAAATGACCCAGAAATTCCCCAAATGCCATTTTTAAACACACCCAGTGAGATTGATTTCAGGGCTTTCTGAATTTATTTCAGTTGAATACACACACTCCTGTGTTTGCTTTCCTTTATTATCAATACAGCTTACTTCCAGATGACTTACATGCCCGTGGGAAAATTTTCCGTTTGGACTCATGGGAAGCGGGCACCGTGAAACAGGCAAGTCGGTCTGTCCGCTTCCGGCGTTATGTGGGTTCCAGCAAGAGCACAAGTCCCAGGGCGCCTGAGGTCCATTCAGGAACCAGTGTAAAAACGGCGAGCCCGGGGAAGAAAGAAGAGCACCGTTCTTCTCTTCCAAATGCATTCCAGTTTCCACTATTCAAGGTGGCGAGAATGATCCACGGATGTCCCACATGAGCCACATTTCACCTTCTCATGCCGACCAACAACTGACGAATGAAACACACCCCAAGAGAAAATACGAAACCGAGTCCCCTGCAATTACCTCACACGCAAACCTACACGTCGGTAGGTCATATTCAGAAATACACACTGAATGTCACCTATCATGAACACAAACACTCAGACAGTCCCTCCAGAGGTTCGGAAGACTCACGACCCCAAAACTTGATGTTTCCCATATGCGGGCTCATCCTGAGATGTAGCCATCACTATCCAGTTGTCCCTGTTGTAGAGACAGAAACTTGGGCTCCTCATTAGTTTATGTAGGATTGACGGTGTTCGTGTTTGTGTGGGTGTGTGTGTGTTTGCGTGCGCGCTTCTGGGTGTAGTTATGTGTGTGTCTGTGTGTGTGCGTGTGTGTGTGCACCCCTACGTGTGGGTCGGTACTTCCACTGAGATCACTGGCACACAAGCAGAGCCCTCTTGCTGTGTTTGTTCTTCCCTTTGGATCTCCTGGCCCTCCCTCGCAGGGAAGCGAGTGTGCCAGTGTTCATGGACTCCTGATGTGTCGGGGTCGACGAAGAGAGGTTTAGCAGGGAGCTTTGCTGTTCAGGATGATGGTTCTTCATCCCACACTTGTATTTTGATTGATGAATCACAAGTACGTCGGGAGGCAGGGTACCTTTGACTTTTCTGACGTTGAACTCAGGCTTCGTTTTGTTTTGCTCTTGAAGGAATTTCCAGTGGTCTAAGGTGCTTTCCTGAGTGGCTCTTTCCACCAAGTGCTCGTCCAACTCGGGGGCCTGGAGGCAGGGGTGGTCTCTCTTGAGCTCTCCTTGCGTTGCTCGCCTGTCTGTGTCTTCTGCGCCAAGGGCTCTTGGTTCCCTGCCTCTTGACACACTCTCACTATGTCTTTCCCATTCACTCTTCTGGATGTAAAAGAGGACGTAGGCCTGTTGACTCAGGACAGAAGTGATGCTAGCGGCGGTGACCTCGGCATCATCCATTTTATACCACTGGCCTTCTTGAGCTTTGACATAAGAGAAGTAATGTCCGTTGTGACAACTCCACTCAGCGTGGACCAGCACAGCATAGAGGACATAGACAAGAGGTCCTGTGTTCTGCTGAGACATGTATGGCTGCATGTCAAGGCACTCAGGATATTGCACATTCTTGGCAATCTTGTTGCCTGTGACATCGGAGAATCTCTTCAATACAAGGATGAGGACCTTGGCAGAGGTGTGTAAAGTTAACGTCTTGGAGGCCGGCGCCCTCTGGAGACAAACACCACAATGATAGGCATTCTCTCCATTGAGTTCTTCGGGCTTCACCAACTGTTCCAAAGCTTGCTGGACACTCTGAGCTGCCTGGATATCCAGGGCGATGTCCAGGTAAGGGTCAAAAGTGTCTGAAATGCCGTGGCAGTGGAGACACTTGATTTGAGATCTCCAGTAGCCTCCAAATATTTGGTGGATGAGGGTGGTGTCCTTAGAGTGATGATCTACCTGCTTGTGCCTGGGAAGGCATGCCTTTTTCATGGCATCCACAGTGAACATGAGAAATTCATGGGCATCTTCCTGCTTGCCTCTATGGAAGCCAGCAGCCAATGCCTGTGAGGGCTGGATGACGTGGCCAGGATTGTGGAGGGCCCGTGTGATGTGAGCTTGCATAGTACAGAGCATGCAGCCCTTGTGACGATGACACGTTTGAGAGTGCTCCCGGGACAGCATGTAGTTGGCAAGGGGCGGTGTGTATGTCAGGCACTGCAAGGAAGCGTTCACGTAGCAGGTATTTCCCATATTCTGGAGCCCAGCCCCCACCGCAGCAGGTCTCCTGCTACTCAGAGGAAGCTTCTCCCTGGGAGCAAGCTGTCTTGCCACAGGAGCCAAATCATCTCAGAGGTCGACACGGGTCTCACATGAGAGTGGTGACTTCTCAGGGAGAGAAGTCCGCTGGATTTCAGCAAAAGCTGCATCTGGCCGAGAAGATGTGAGTTTTGAAAAGTGGTTGAACTGCCACTCACCTCCCAAGTAGAGTGAGTCGTCCTCCATGTCGACTGGAACAAGGATCACAAGGTTTGTCTGCTGGGACCACAGGTTGCAGAAAGACGCTATCCCTTCCGAGAGAGTCTTCAAATGACGAGCTCTCTGGCCACATCAGCCCTTCTGTAAGTCACCCCCACCAACCGCGAACACCCCACCTACTCATCAGGTGCGCGATAAGCCAATCAAATATCAGCACTCAATTCAGGAAGGAGTCACAGGGTGTGTCCCCTGGCATCGCTGGGAATTCAACAGACACAGCCCACAGCATGACTTCCAGAACACCTGAATCAAATTACTCCTCAGGATGATAGGCACATATAATAGGAGTGTAACCGGGTTGGGACAGTGGCCTCACAGTTGCCTTATTTTAGGTAAAGCAATGGCAGGGAAGAAATCTTTACCTAGGAAACCGTGTGCGTGTGTGTGTGTGAGTGTGTTTGTGTGTGTGTGTGTGGGGGGGGCGTGTGTGTGTGTGTTTGTGCTGGGATGAACTTCCAAGTATGTACTTTTGGCAGCTGCCATCATCCTCTCCGCGACGGAAGGACAAGAAGACGAAAGTGCGCTTTCTGACCTGAGAATAGTCAATGAAGTATAGTATTTAGCACAGCGTATTTTCTTCCCTAATGAGAAAGGAGAGATCCGTGGAATCAAACAGACCTTCCAGCGATAAGCTTTCCACGTTGAGCCTATTGATTCTCTGTCCGAGTGAAATTACCTGCCAGTGGAGAACAAGACAAGTCTTTGCGTGAAATGCTCTTGTGGAAGCTAGATTGCCAAATAAGAAAGAATCAAATGGTAGAAACATGCACTGAAGTTTGAAGAGATACTCAGTGCACAAAGTAGACTGTGAAAGCCTTTGGGGAAATCATGCAATCCCCGAGAGACTAATTGATGACAATCCCCAAATTTATGTTTGCCAGAAAAGAGAGACGGTCATGACACTGCATAGTGAGCGGTTTCGGACGTGCGACGGCAGTTTAAGAAAACACGAAACAAAAAACTTGAGAACTCAGAAGGTATCCCAGCTATAACCGTTTGTTTATTAAAGAATTGATGAAAATAAAAACAACGTATCTCACAGCATGTGTGATAATATTTCCATACGTATGTGATAATGGATCAACGTTTCCTAGAGGTGAAATAAAAAGTTCTAATTTGGACAAAAGCAAACAAGGAAAATTATACCGTGGAAAAGCCCGGCTGACGGAAGTGAGGCCCTGTCTCAGGGAGAAACATCGGAGACGTTTAAAAGCAGGGAGTGAAACAGAGGATAGCGTGCCATTTTTAATACTGGCCCTTGTTTCAGTGGGAAAAGGCCAAAATAAGCCGTGCATATCCTGGATTCTCGCATCGATCGTTCAGGATCGGAGATGTTGCCTCCATTTCCAGTTACGCATTGTATGGTGGAATTGCAGTTAGCACATTTGGTGCCAAGATTGTAATGCTGCCGAAAGTGGACATGTTCCCTGAAGTAAGAGGGACAGAATTTGGGTGTGTCTTCCGGCTGTCTGGCTTAGCAGGAATGAAGATCCTGGCTCTAGGGATTTTCCCAACATGTCTTAGACGGTAAGGAACAGGGCGGAATTGAGGCCCGGCGCCAAGGCCTCTAGGTGTAAAGAAACAGCCCTGGCTTCAGGGCCCATGAAATTAGGATGATTTTAAGGAGGATGATGGGATGAGAGGACTGTGACCTTTGGCCCCGTTTCTTTCCCTTGTCTTTTCATGGGCCAGGTGTGCTCCATCAGAAGGCTTCCTGTGCCGGATGTAAAGTGTCCTGGGGGAAGAAAAGAGCACTGCTTAGAAAGATGCTCCACAGGGAGAAAGGAGCCACCATTTTCAGGAGAATGATCCCCAGAAGCATGAGCAATGCAGATGCCGAGGCTTCACACAAGACCCTGGAGGGTCTTATTCCTGCAGCCGGGACCTGGGCATCGGTGTGCTTGAATGCTCATAACCGATTTTGAGGGGAGCCCAATCGATAAGCTGTCTGCCAGTCATGCTCATCACACTGTAGTTTTCACACACGTCACACGGAGACCCTGTTCGTATGCACATTTGGGTGCTTGAGCAGGGTTGCGCCCAAGATTCTGTGGTTCTACGGAGCTCTGAGTTGTGCCCTGGGCAGCTTTCCTCTGGGGTTGGTCAACTTTGATCACTATACCTGACGAGAAAGGGACCATGAAGTCTAATCAGCAAATAGAGAAAAGGAAGGGGCCATTTCCCACAATCATTTCCACGGAAACACCACGTCGGATCAATAAGTCTCACTGCGGGACAGGGACTGTGCTTCAGAGATGCAGCTTTCGCAGCTGGACAAATGACCCAGAAATTCCCCAAATGCCATTTTTAAACACACCCAGTGAGATTGATTTCAGGGCTTTCTGAATTTATTTCAGTTGAATACACACACTCCTGTGTTTGCTTTCCTTTATTATCAATACAGCTTACTTCCAGATGACTTACATGCCCGTGGGAAAATTTTCCGTTTGGACTCATGGGAAGCGGGCACCGTGAAACAGGCAAGTCGGTCTGTCCGCTTCCGGCGTTATGTGGGTTCCAGCAAGAGCACAAGTCCCAGGGCGCCTGAGGTCCATTCAGGAACCAGTGTAAAAACGGCGAGCCCGGGGAAGAAAGAAGAGCACCGTTCTTCTCTTCCAAATGCATTCCAGTTTCCACTATTCAAGGTGGCGAGAATGATCCACGGATGTCCCACATGAGCCACCTTTCACCTTCTCATGCCGACCAACAACTGACGAATGAAACACACCCCAAGAGAAAATACGAAACCGAGTCCCCTGCAATTACCTCACACGCAAACCTACACGTCGGTAGGTCATATTCAGAAATACACACTGAATGTCACCTATCATGAACACAAACACTCAGACAGTCCCACCAGAGGTTCGGAAGACTCACGACCCCAAAACTTGATGTTTCCCATATGCGGGCTCATCCTGAGATGTAGCCATCACTATCCAGTTGTCCCTGTTGTAGAGACAGAAACTTGGGCTCCTCATTAGTTTATGTAGGATTGACGGTGTTCGTGTTTGGGTGGGTGTGTGTGTTTGCGTGTGCGCTTCTGGGTGTAGTTATGTGTGTGTCTGTGTGTGTGCGTGTGTGTGTGCACCCCTACGTGTGGGTCGGTACTTCCACTGAGACCACTGGCACACAAGCAGAGCCCTCTTGCTGTGTTTGTTCTTCCCTTTGGATCTCCTGGCCCTCCCTCGCAGGGAAGCGAGTGTGCCAGTGTTCATGGACTCCTGATGTGTCGGGGTCGTCGAAGAGAGGTTTAGCAGGGAGCTTTGCTGTTCAGGATGATGGTTCTTCATCCCACACTTGTATTTTGATTGATGAATCACAAGTACGTCGGGAGGCAGGGTACCTTCGACTTTTCTGACGTTGAACTCAGGCTTCGTTTTGTTTTGCTCTTGAAGGAATTTCCAGTGGTCTAAGGTGCTTTCCTGAGTGGCTCTTTCCACCAAGTGCTCGTCCAACTCGGGGGCCTGGAGGCAGGGGTGGTCTCTCTTGAGCTCTCCTTGCGTTGCTCGCCTGTCTGTGTCTTCTGCGCCAAGGGCTCTTGGTTCCCTGCCTCTTGACACACTCTCACTGTGTCTTTCCCATTCACTCTTCTGGATGTAAAAGAGGACGTAGGCCTGTTGACTCAGGACAGAAGTGATGCTAGAGGCGGTGACCTCGGCATCATCCATTTTATACCACTGGCCTTCTTGAGCTTTGACATAAGAGAAGTAATGTCCGTTGTGACAACTCCACCCAGCGTGGACCAGCACAGCATAGAGGACATAGACGAGAGGTCCTGAGTTCGTCTGAGACATGTATAGCTTCATGTCAAGGCACTCAGGATATTGCACATTCTTGTCAATCTTGTTGCCTGTGACATCGGAGAATCTCTTCAATACAAGGATGAGGACCTTGGCAGAGGTGTGTAAAGTTAACGTCTTGGAGGCCGGCGCCCTCTGGAGACAAACACCACAATGATAGGCATTCTCTCCATTGAGTTCTTCGGGCTTCACCAACTGTTCCAAAGCTTGCTGGACACTCTGAGCTGCCTGGATATCCAGGGCGATGTCCAGGTAAGGGTCAAAAGTGTCTGAAATGCCGTGGCAGTGGAGACACTTGATTTGAGATCTCCAGTAGCCTCCAAATATTTGGTGGATGAGGGTGGTGTCCTTAGAGTGATGATCCACCTGCTTGTGCCCGGGAAGGCATGCCTTTTTCATGGCATCCACAGTGAACATGAGAAATTCATGGGCATCTTCCTGCTTGCCTCTATGGAAGCCAGCAGCCAATGCCTGTGAGGGCTGGATGACGTGGCCAGGATTGTGGAGGGCCCGTGTGATGTGAGCTTGCATCGTACAGAGCATGCAGCCCTTGTGACGATGACACGTTTGAGAGTGCTCCCGGGACAGCATGTAGTTGGCAAGGGGCGGTGTGTATGTCAGGCACTGCAAGGAAGCGTTCACGTAGCAGGTATTTCCCATATTCTGGAGCCCAGCCCCCACCGCAGCAGGTCTCCTGCTACTCAGAGGAAGCTTCTCCCTGGGAGCAAGCTGTCTTGCCACAGGAGCCAAATCATCACAGAGGTCGACACGGGTCTCACATGAGAGTGGTGACTTCTCAGGGAGAGAAGTCCGCTGGATTTCAGCAAAAGCTGCATCGGGCCGAGAAGATGTGAGTTTTGAAAAGTGGTTGAACTGCCACTCACCTCCCAAGTAGAGTGAGTCGTCCTCCATGTCGACTGGAACGAGGATCACAAGGTTTGTCTGCTGGGACCGCAGGTTGCAGAAAGACGCTATCCCTTCCGAGAGAGTCTTCAAATGACGAGCTCTCTGGCCGCATCAGCCCTTCTGTAAGTCACCCCCACCAACCGCGAACACCCCACCCACTCATCAGGTGCGCGATAAGCCAATCAAATATCAGCACTCAATTCAGGAAGGAGTCACAGGGTGTGTCCCCTGGCATCGCTGGGAATTCAACAGACACAGCCCACAGCATGACTTCCAGAACACCTGAATCAAATTACTCCTCAGGATGATAGGCACATATAATAGGAGTGTAACCGGGTTGGGACAGTGGCCTCACAGTTGCCTTATTTTAGGTAAAGCAATGGCAGGGAAGAAATCTTTACCTAGGAAACCGTGTGCGTGTGTGTGTGTGAGTGTGTTTGTGTGTGTGTGGGGGGGGGCGTGTGTGTGTGTGTGTTTGTGCTGGGATGAACCTCCAAGTAGGTACTTTTGGCAGCTGCCATCATCCTCTCAGCGACGGAAGGACAAGAAGTCGAAAGTGCGCTTTCTGACCTGAGAATAGTCAATGAAGTATAGTATTTAGCACAGCGTATTTTCTTCCCTAGTGAGAAAGGAGAGATCCGTGGAATCAAACAGACCTTCCAGCGATAACCTTTCCACGTTGAGCCTATTGATTCTCTGTCCGAGTGAAATTACCTGCCAGTGGAGAACAAGACAAGTCTTTGCATGAAATGCTCTTGTGGAAGCTAGATTGCCAAATAAGAAAGAATCAAATGGTAGAAACATGCACTGAAGTTTGAAGAGATACTCAGTGCACAAAGTAGACTGTGAAAGCCTTTGGGGAAATCATGCAATCCCCGAGAGACTAATTGATGACAATCCCCAAATTTATGTTTGCCAGAAAAGAGAGACGGTCATGACACTGCATAGTGAGCGGTTTCGGACGTGCGACGGCAGTTTAAGAAAACACGAAACAAAAAACTTGAGAACTCAGAAGGTATCCCAGCTATACCCTTTTGTTTATTAAAGAATTGATGAAAATAAAAACAACGTATCTCACAGCATGTGTGATAATATTTCCATACGTATGTGATAATGGATCAACGTTTCCTAGAGATGAAATAAAAAGTTCTAATTTGGACAAAAGCAAACAAGGAAAATTATACCGTAGAAAAGCCCGGCTGACGGAAGTGAGGCCCTGTCTCAGGGAGAAACATCGGAGACGTTTAAAAGCAGGGAGTGAAACAGAGGATAGCGTGCCATTTTTAATACTGGCCCTTGTATCAGTGGGAAAAGGCCAAAATAAGCCGTGCATATCCTGGATTCTCGCATCGATCGTTCAGGATCGGAGATGTTGCCTCCATTTCCAGTTACGCATTGTATGGTGGAATTGCAGTTAGCACATTTGGTGCCAAAATTGTAATGCTGCCGAAAGTGGACATGTTCCCTAAGTAAGAGGGACAGAATTTGGGTGTGTCTTCCGGCTGTCTGGCTTAGCAGGAATGAAGATCCTGGCTCTAGGGATTTTCCCAACACGTCTTAGACGGTAAGGAACAGGGCGGAATTGAGGCCCGGCGCCAAGGCCTCTAGGTGTAAAGAAACAGCCCTGGCTTCAGGGCCCATGAAATTAGGATGATTTTAAGGAGGATGATGGGATGAGAGGACTGTGACCTTTGGCCCCGTTTCTTTCCCTTGTCTTTTCATGGGCCAGGTGTGCTCCATCAGAAGGCTTCCTGTGCCGGATGTAAAGTGTCCTGGGGGAAGAAAAGAGCACTGCTTAGAAAGATGCTCCACAGGGAGAAAGGAGCCACCATTTTCAGGAGAATGATCCCCAGAAGCATGAGCAATGCAGATGCCGAGGCTTCACACAAGACCCTGGAGGGTCTTATTCCTGCAGCCGGGACCTGGGCATCGGTGTGCTTGAATGCTCATAACCGATTTTGAGGGGAGCCCAATCGATAAGCTGTCTGCCAGTCATGCTCATCACACTGTAGTTTTCACACACGTCACACGGAGACCCTGTTCGTATGCACATTTGGGTGCTTGAGCAGGGTTGCGCCCAAGATTCTGTGGTTCTACGGAGCCCTGAGTTGTGCCCTGGGCAGCTTTCCTCTGGGTTGGTCAACTTTGATCACTATACCTGACGAGAAAGGGACCATGAAGTCTAATCAGCAAATAGAGAAAAGGAAGGGGCCATTTCCCACAATCATTTCCACGGAAACACCACGTCGGATAAATAAGTCTCACTGCGGGACAGGGACTGTGCTTCAGAGATGCAGCTTTCGCAGCTGGACAAATGACCCAGAAATTCCCCAAATGCCATTTTTAAACACACCCAGTGAGATTGATTGCAGGGCTTTCTGAATTTATTTCAGTTGAATACACACACTCCTGTGTTTGCTTTCCTTTATTATCAATACAGCTTACTTCCAGATGACTTACATGCCCGTGGGAAAATTTTCCGTTTGGACTCATGGGAAGCGGGCACCGTGAAACAGGCAAGTCGGTCTGTCCGCTTCCGGCGTTATGTGGGTTCCAGCAAGAGCACAAGTCCCAGGGCGCCTGAGGTCCATTCAGGAACCAGTGTAAAAACGGCGAGCCCGGGGAAGAAAGAAGAGCACCGTTCTTCTCTTCCAAATGCATTCCAGTTTCCACTATTCAAGGTGGCGAGAATGATCCACGGATGTCCCACATGAGCCACCTTTCACCTTCTCATGCCGACCAACAACTGACGAATGAAACACACCCCAAGAGAAAATACGAAACCGAGTCCCCTGCAATTACCTCACACGCAAACCTACACGTCGGTAGGTCATATTCAGAAATACACACTGAATGTCACCTATCATGAACACAAACACTCAGACAGTCCCACCAGAGGTTCGGAAGACTCACGACCCCAAAACTTGATGTTTCCCATATGCGGGCTCATCCTGAGATGTAGCCATCACTATCCAGTTGTCCCTGTTGTAGAGACAGAAACTTGGGCTCCTCATTAGTTTATGTAGGATTGACGGTGTTCGTGTTTGTGTGGGTGTGTGTGTGTTTGCGTGCGCGCTTCTGGGTGTAGTTATGTGTGTGTCTGTGTGTGTGCGTGTGTGTGTGCACCCCTACGTGTGGGTCGGTACTTCCACTGAGATCACTGGCACACAAGCAGAGCCCTCTTGCTGTGTTTGTTCTTCCCTTTGGATCTCCTGGCCCTCCCTCGCAGGGAAGCGAGTGTGCCATTGTTCATGGACTGCTGATGTGTCGGGGTCGTCGAAGAGAGGTTTAGCAGGGAGCTTTGCTGTTCAGGATGATGGTTCTTCATCCCACACTTGTATTTTGATTGATGAATCACAAGTACGTCGGGAGGCAGGGTACCTTCGACTTTTCTGACGTTGAACTCAGGCTTCGTTTTGTTTTGCTCTTGAAGGAATTTCCAGTGGTCTAAGGTGCTTTCCTGAGTGGCTCTTTCCACCAAGTGCTCGTCCAACTCGGGGGCCTGGAGTCAGGGGTGGTCTCTCTTGAGCTCTCCTTGCGTTACTCGCCTGTCTGTGTCTTCTGCGCCAAGGGCTCTTGGTTCCCTGCCTCTTGACACACTCTCACTGTGTCTTTCCCATTCACTCTTCTGGATGTAAAAGAGGACGTAGGCCTGTTGACTCAGGACAGATGTGATGCTAGCGGCGGTGACCTCGGCATCATCCATTTTATACCACTGGCCTTCTTGAGCTTTGACATAAGAGAAGTAATGTCCGTTGTGACAACTCCACCCAGCATGGACCAGCACAGCATAGAGGACATAGACAAGAGGTCCTG
The DNA here is from genome assembly GCF_000001405.40 of Homo sapiens. Taxonomy (NCBI): domain Eukaryota; kingdom Metazoa; phylum Chordata; class Mammalia; order Primates; family Hominidae; genus Homo; species Homo sapiens. Next base: position 9,230,574 of record NC_000004.12, on the reverse strand, counting down.
TGTTCTGCTGAGACATGTATGGCTGCATGTCAAGGCACTCAGGATATTGCACATTCTTGGCAATCTTGTTGCCTGTGACATCGGAGAATCTCTTCAATACAAGGATGAGGACCTTGGCAGAAGTGTGTAAAGTTAACGTCTTGGAGGCCGGCGCCCTCTGGAGACAAACACCACAATGATAGGCATTCTCTCCATTGAGTTCTTCGGGCTTCACCAACTGTTCCAAAGCTTGCTGGACACTCTGAGCTGCCTGGATATCCAGGGCGATGTCCAGGTAAGGGTCAAAAGTGTCTGAAATGCCGTGGCAGTGGAGACACTTGATTTGAGATCTCCAGTAGCCTCCAAATATTTGGTGGATGAGGGTGGTGTCCTTAGAGGGATGATCTACCTGCTTGTGCCCGGGAAGGCATGCCTTTTTCATGGCATCCACAGTGAACATGAGAAATTCATGGGCATCTTCCTGCTTGCCTCTATGGAAGCCAGCAGCCAATGCCTGTGAGGGCTGGATGACGTGGCCAGGATTGTGGAGGGCCCGTGTGATGTGAGCTTGCATAGTACAGAGCATGCAGCCCTTGTGACGATGACACGTTTGAGAGTGCTCCCGGGACAGCATGTAGTTGGCAAGGGGCGGTGTGTATGTCAGGCACTGCAAGGAAGCGTTCACGTAGCAGGTATTTCCCATATTCTGGAGCCCAGCCCCCACCGCAGCAGGTCTCCTGCTACTCAGAGGAAGCTTCTCCCTGGGAGCAAGCTGTCTTGCCTCAGGAACCAAATCATCACAGAGGTCGACACGGGTCTCACATGAGAGTGGTGACTTCTCAGGGAGAGAAGTCCGCTGGATTTCAGCAAAAGCTGCATCGAGCCGAGAAGATGTGAGTTTTGAAAAGTGGTTGAACTGCCACTCACCACCCAAGTAGAGTGAGTCCTCCTCCATGTCGACTGGAACAAGGATCACAAGGTTTGTCTGCTGGGACCGCAGGTTGCAGAAAGACGCTATCCCTTCCGAGAGAGTCTTCAAATGACGAGCTCTCTGGCCGCATCAGCCCTTCTGTAAGTCACCCCCACGAACCGCGAACACCCCACCCACTCATCAGGTGCGCGATAAGCCAATCAAATATCAGCACTCAATTCAGGAAGGAGTCACAGGGTGTGTCCCCTGGCATCGCTGGGAATTCAACAGACACAGCCCACAGCATGACTTCCAGAACACCTGAATCAAATTACTCCTCAGGATGATAGGCACATATAATAGGAGTGTAACCGGGTTGGGACAGTGGCCTCACAGTTGCCTTATTTTAGGTAAAGCAATGGCAGGGAAGAAATCTTTACCTAGGAAACCGTGTGCGTGTGTGTGTGTGAGTGTGTTTGTGTGTGTGTGGGGGGGGCATGTGTGTGTGTGTGTTTGTGCTGGGATGAACCTCCAAGTAGTTACTTTTGGCAGCTGCCATCATCCTCTCAGCGACGGAAGGACAAGAAGTCGAAAGTGCGCTTTCTGACCTGAGAATAGTCAATGAAGTATAGTATTTAGCACAGCGTATTTTCTTCCCTAGTGAGAAAGGAGAGATCCGTGGAATCAAACAGACCTTCCAGCGATAACCTTTCCACGTTGAGCCTATTGATTCTCTGTCCGAGTGAAATTACCTGCCAGTGGAGAAGAAGACAAGTCTTTGCATGAAATGCTCTTGTGGAAGCTAGATTGCCAAATAATAAAGCATCAAATGGTAGAAACATGCACTGAAGTTTGAAGAGATACTCAGTGCACAAAGTAGACAGTGAAAGCCTTTGGGGAAATCATGCAATCCCCGAGAGACTAATTGATGACAATCCCCAAATTTATGTTTGCCAGAAAAGAGAGACGGTCATGACACTGCATAGTGAGCGGTTTCGGACGTGCGACGGCAGTTTAAGAAAACACGAAACAAAAAACTTGAGAACTCAGAAGGTATCCCAGCTATACCCTTTTGTTTATTAAAGAATTGATGAAAATAAAAACAACGTATCTCACAGCATGTGTGATAATATTTCCATACGTATGTGATAATGGATCAACGTTTCCTAGAGATGAAATAAAAAGTTCTAATTTGGACAAAAGCAAACAAGGAAAATTATACCGTAGAAAAGCCCGGCTGACGGAAGTGAGGCCCTGTCTCAGGGAGAAACATCGGAGACGTTTAAAAGCAGGGAGTGAAACAGAGGATAGCGTGCCATTTTTAATACTGGCCCTTGTTTCAGTGGGAAAAGGCCAAAATAAGCCGTGCATATCCTGGATTCTCGCATCGATCGTTCAGGATCGGAGATGTTGCCTCCATTTCCAGTTACGCATTGTATGGTGGAATTGCAGTTAGCACATTTGGTGCCAAAATTGTAATGCTGCCGAAAGTGGACATGTTCCCTGAAGTAAGAGGGACAGAATTTGGGTGTGTCTTCCGGCTGTCTGGCTTAGCAGGAATGAAGATCCTGGCTCTAGGGATTTTCCCAACACGTCTTAGACGGTAAGGAACAGGGCGGAATTGAGGCCCGGCGCCAAGGCCTCTAGGTGTAAAGAAACAGCCCTGGCTTCAGGGCCCATGAAATTAGGATGATTTTAAGGAGGATGATGGGATGAGAGGACTGTGACCTTTGGCCCCGTTTCTTTCCCTTGTCTTTTCATGGGCCAGGTGTGCTCCATCAGAAGGCTTCCTGTGCCGGATGTAAAGTGTCCTGGGGGAAGAAAAGAGCACTGCTTAGAAAGATGCTCCACAGGGAGAAAGGAGCCACCATTTTCAGGAGAATGATCCCCAGAAGCATGAGCAATGCAGATGCCGAGGCTTCACACAAGACCCTGGAGGGTCTTATTCCTGCAGCCGGGACCTGGGCATCGGTGTGCTTGAATGCTCATAACCGATTTTGAGGGGAGCCCAATCGATAAGCTGTCTGCCAGTCATGCTCATCACACTGTAGTTTTCACACACGTCACACGGAGACCCTGTTCGTATGCACATTTGGGTGCTTGAGCAGGGTTGCGCCCAAGATTCTGTGGTTCTACGGAGCCCTGAGTTGTGCCCTGGGCAGCTTTCCTCTGGGGCTGGTCAACTTTGATCACTGTACCTGACGAGAAAGGGACCATGAAGTCTAATCAGCAAATAGAGAAAAGGAAGGGGCCATTTCCCACAATCATTTCCACGGAAACACCACGTCGGATCAATAAGTCTCACTGCGGGACAGGGACTGTGCTTCAGAGATGCAGCTTTCGCAGCTGGACAAATGACCCAGAAATTCCCCAAATGCCATTTTTAAACACACCCAGTGAGATTGATTGCAGGGCTTTCTGAATTTATTTCAGTTGAATACACACACTCCTGTGTTTGCTTTCCTTTATTATCAATACAGCTTACTTCCAGATGACTTACATGCCCGTGGGAAAATTTTCCGTTTGGACTCATGGGAAGCGGGCACCGTGAAACAGGCAAGTCGGTCTGTCCGCTTCCGGCGTTATGTGGGTTCCAGCAAGAGCACAAGTCCCAGGGCGCCTGAGGTCCATTCAGGAACCAGTGTAAAAACGGCGAGCCCGGGGAAGAAAGAAGAGCACCGTTCTTCTCTTCCAAATGCATTCCAGTTTCCACTATTCAAGGTGGCGAGAATGATCCACGGATGTCCCACATGAGCCACCTTTCACCTTCTCATGCCGACCAACAACTGACGAATGAAACACACCCCAAGAGAAAATACGAAACCGAGTCCCCTGCAATTACCTCACACGCAAACCTACACGTCGGTAGGTCATATTCAGAAATACACACTGAATGTCACCTATCATGAACACAAACACTCAGACAGTCCCTCCAGAGGTTCGGAAGACTCACGACCCCAAAACTTGATGTTTCCCATATGCGGGCTCATCCTGAGATGTAGCCATCACTATCCAGTTGTCCCTGTTGTAGAGACAGAAACTTGGGCTCCTCATTAGTTTATGTAGGATTGACGGTGTTCGTGTTTGTGTGGGTGTGTGTGTGTTTGCGTGCGCGCTTCTGGGTGTAGTTATGTGTGTGTCTGTGTGTGTGCGTGTGTGTGTGCACCCCTACGTGTGGGTCGGTACTTCCACTGAGATCACTGGCACACAAGCAGAGCCCTCTTGCTGTGTTTGTTCTTCCCTTTGGATCTCCTGGCCCTCCCTCGCAGGGAAGCGAGTGTGCCAGTGTTCATGGACTCCTGATGTGTCGGGGTCGACGAAGAGAGGTTTAGCAGGGAGCTTTGCTGTTCAGGATGATGGTTCTTCATCCCACACTTGTATTTTGATTGATGAATCACAAGTACGTCGGGAGGCAGGGTACCTTCGACTTTTCTGACGTTGAACTCAGGCTTCGTTTTGTTTTGCTCTTGAAGGAATTTCCAGCGGTCTAAGGTGCTTTCCTGAGTGGCTCTTTCCACCAAGTGCTCGTCCAACTCGGGGGCCTGGAGGCAGGGGTGGTCTCTCTTGAGCTCTCCTTGCGTTGCTCGCCTGTCTGTGTCTTCTGCGCCAAGGGCTCTTGGTTCCCTGCCTCTTGACACACTCTCACTGTGTCTTTCCCATTCACTCTTCTGGATGTAAAAGAGGACGTAGGCCTGTTGACTCAGGACAGAAGTGATGCTAGCGGCGGTGACCTCGGCATCATCCATTTTATACCATTGGCCTTCTTGAGCTTTGACATAAGAGAAGTAATGTCCGTTGTGACAACTCCACCCAGCGTGGACCAGCACAGCATAGAGGACATAGACAAGAGGTCCTGTGTTCTGCTGAGACATGTATGGCTGCATGTCAAGGCACTCAGGATATTGCACATTCTTGGCAATCTTGTTGCCTGTCACATCGGAGAATCTCTTCAATACAAGGATGAGGACCTTGGCAGAGGTGTGTAAAGTTAACGTCTTGGAGGCCGGCGCCCTCTGGAGACAAACACCACAATGATAGGCATTCTCTCCATTGAGTTCTTCGGGCTTCACCAACTGTTCCAAAGCTTGCTGGACACTCTGAGCTGCCTGGATATCCAGGGCGATGTCCAGGTAAGGGTCAAAAGTGTCTGAAATGCCGTGGCAGTGGAGACACTTGATTTGAGATCTCCAGTAGCCTCCAAATATTTGGTGGATGAGGGTGGTGTCCTTAGAGGGATGATCTACCTGCTTGTGCCCGGGAAGGCATGCCTTTTTCATGGCATCCACAGTGAACATGAGAAATTCATGGGCATCTTCCTGCTTGCCTCTATGGAAGCCAGCAGCCAATGCCTGTGAGGGCTGGATGACGTGGCCAGGATTGTGGAGGGCCCGTGTGATGTGAGCTTGCATAGTACAGAGCATGCAGCCCTTGTGACGATGACACGTTTGAGAGTGCTCCCGGGACAGCATGTAGTTGGCAAGGGGCGGTGTGTATGTCAGGCACTGCAAGGAAGCGTTCACGTAGCAGGTATTTCCCATATTCTGGAGCCCAGCCCCCACCGCAGCAGGTCTCCTGCTACTCAGAGGAAGCTTCTCCCTGGGAGCAAGCTGTCTTGCCTCAGGAACCAAATCATCACAGAGGTCGACACGGGTCTCACATGAGAGTGGTGACTTCTCAGGGAGAGAAGTCCGCTGGATTTCAGCAAAAGCTGCATCGAGCCGAGAAGATGTGAGTTTTGAAAAGTGGTTGAACTGCCACTCACCACCCAAGTAGAGTGAGTCCTCCTCCATGTCGACTGGAACAAGGATCACAAGGTTTGTCTGCTGGGACCGCAGGTTGCAGAAAGACGCTATCCCTTCCGAGAGAGTCTTCAAATGACGAGCTCTCTGGCCGCATCAGCCCTTCTGTAAGTCACCCCCACGAACCGCGAACACCCCACCCACTCATCAGGTGCGCGATAAGCCAATCAAATATCAGCACTCAATTCAGGAAGGAGTCACAGGGTGTGTCCCCTGGCATCGCTGGGAATTCAACAGACACAGCCCACAGCATGACTTCCAGAACACCTGAATCAAATTACTCCTCAGGATGATAGGCACATATAATAGGAGTGTAACCGGGTTGGGACAGTGGCCTCACAGTTGCCTTATTTTAGGTAAAGCAATGGCAGGGAAGAAATCTTTACCTAGGAAACCGTGTGCGTGTGTGTGTGTGAGTGTGTTTGTGTGTGTGTGGGGGGGGCATGTGTGTGTGTGTGTTTGTGCTGGGATGAACCTCCAAGTAGTTACTTTTGGCAGCTGCCATCATCCTCTCAGCGACGGAAGGACAAGAAGTCGAAAGTGCGCTTTCTGACCTGAGAATAGTCAATGAAGTATAGTATTTAGCACAGCGTATTTTCTTCCCTAGTGAGAAAGGAGAGATCCGTGGAATCAAACAGACCTTCCAGCGATAACCTTTCCACGTTGAGCCTATTGATTCTCTGTCCGAGTGAAATTACCTGCCAGTGGAGAAGAAGACAAGTCTTTGCATGAAATGCTCTTGTGGAAGCTAGATTGCCAAATAATAAAGCATCAAATGGTAGAAACATGCACTGAAGTTTGAAGAGATACTCAGTGCACAAAGTAGACAGTGAAAGCCTTTGGGGAAATCATGCAATCCCCGAGAGACTAATTGATGACAATCCCCAAATTTATGTTTGCCAGAAAAGAGAGACGGTCATGACACTGCATAGTGAGCGGTTTCGGACGTGCGACGGCAGTTTAAGAAAACACGAAACAAAAAACTTGAGAACTCAGAAGGTATCCCAGCTATAACCTTTTGTTTATTAAGAATTGATGAAAATAAAAACAACGTATCTCACAGCATGTGTGATAATATTTCCATACGTATGTGATAATGGATCAACGTTTCCTAGAGATAAAATAAAAAGTTCTAATTTGGACAAAAGCAAACAAGGAAAATTATACCGTAGAAAAGCCCGGCTGACGGAAGTGAGGCCCTGTCTCAGGGAGAAACATCAGAGACGTTTAAAAGCAGGGAGTGAAACAGAGGATAGCGTGCCATTTTTAATACTGGCCCTTGTTTCAGTGGGAAAAGGCCAAAATAAGCCGTGCATATCCTGGATTCTCGCATCGATCGTTCAGGATCGGAGATGTTGCCTCCATTTCCAGTTACGCATTGTATGGTGGAATTGCAGTTAGCACATTTGGTGCCAAAATTGTAATGCTGCCGAAAGTGGACATGTTCCCTGAAGTAAGAGGGACAGAATTTGGGTGTGTCTTCCGGCTGTCTGGCTTAGCAGGAATGAAGATCCTGGCTCTAGGGATTTTCCCAACATGTCTTAGACGGTAAGGAACAGGGCGGAATTGAGGCCCGGCGCCAAGGCCTCTAGGTGTAAAGAAACAGCCCTGGCTTCAGGGCCCATGAAATTAGGATGATTTTAAGGAGGATGATGGGATGAGAGGACTGTGACCTTTGGCCCCGTTTCTTTCCCTTGTCTTTTCATGGGCCAGGTGTGCTCCATCAGAAGGCTTCCTGTGCCGGATGTAAAGTGTCCTGGGGGAAGAAAAGAGCACTGCTTAGAAAGATGCTCCACAGGGAGAAAGGAGCCACCATTTTCAGGAGAATGATCCCCAGAAGCATGAGCAATGCAGATGCCGAGGCTTCACACAAGACCCTGGAGGGTCTTATTCCTGCAGCCGGGACCTGGGCATCGGTGTGCTTGAATGCTCATAACCGATTTTGAGGGGAGCCCAATCGATAAGCTGTCTGCCAGTCATGCTCATCACACTGTAGTTTTCACACACGTCACACGGAGACCCTGTTCGTATGCACATTTGGGTGCTTGAGCAGGGTTGCGCCCAAGATTCTGTGGTTCTACGGAGCCCTGAGTTGTGCCCTGGGCAGCTTTCCTCTGGGGTTGGTCAACTTTGATCACTGTACCTGACGAGAAAGGGACCATGAAGTCTAATCAGCAAATAGAGAAAAGGAAGGGGCCATTTCCCACAATCATTTCCACGGAAACACCACGTCGGATCAATAAGTCTCACTGCGGGACAGGGACTGTGCTTCAGAGATGCAGCTTTCGCAGCTGGACAAATGACCCAGAAATTCCCCAAATGCCATTTTTAAACACACCCAGTGAGATTGATTGCAGGGCTTTCTGAATTTATTTCAGTTGAATACACACACTCCTGTGTTTGCTTTCCTTTATTATCAATACAGCTTACTTCCAGATGACTTACATGCCCGTGGGAAAATTTTCCGTTTCGACTCATGGGAAGCGGGCACCGTGAAACAGGCAAGTCGGTCTGTCCGCTTCCGGCGTTATGTGGGTTCCAGCAAGAGCACAAGTCCCAGGGCGCCTGAGGTCCATTCAGGAACCAGTGTAAAAACGGCGAGCCCGGGGAAGAAAGAAGAGCACCGTTCTTCTCTTCCAAATGCATTCCAGTTTCCACTATTCAAGGTGGCGAGAATGATCCACGGATGTCCCACATGAGCCACCTTTCACCTTCTCATGCCGACCAACAACTGACGAATGAAACACACCCCAAGAGAAAATACGAAACCGAGTCCCCTGCAATTACCTCACACGCAAACCTACGCGTCGGTAGGTCATATTCAGAAATACACACTGAATGTCACCTATCATGAACACAAACACTCAGACAGTCCCTCCAGAGGTTCGGAAGACTCACGACCCCAAAACTTGATGTTTCCCATATGCGGGCTCATCCTGAGATGTAGCCATCACTATCCAGTTGTCCCTGTTGTAGAGACAGAAAGTTGGGCTCCTCATTAGTTTATGTAGGATTGACGGTGTTCGTGTTTGTGTGGGTGTGTGTGTGTTTGCGTGCGCGCTTCTGGGTGTAGTTATGTGTGTGTCTGTGTGTGTGCGTGTGTGTGTGCACCCCTACGTGTGGGTCGGTACTTCCACTGAGATCACTGGCACACAAGCAGAGCCCTCTTGCTGTGTTTGTTCTTCCCTTTGGATCTCCTGGCCCTCCCTCGCAGGGAAGCGAGTGTGCCAGTGTTCATGGACTCCTGATGTGTCGGGGTCGTCGAAGAGAGTTTTAGCAGGGAGCTTTGCTGTTCAGGATGATGGTTCTTCATCCCACACTTGTATTTTGATTGATGAATCACAAGTACGTCGGGAGGCAGGGTACCTTCGACTTTTCTGACGTTGAACTCAGGCTTCGTTTTGTTTTGCTCTTGAAGGAATTTCCAGTGGTCTAAGGTGCTTTCCTGAGTGGCTCTTTCCACCAAGTGCTCGTCCAACTCGGGGGCCTGGAGGCAGGGGTGGTCTCTCTTGAGCTCTCCTTGCGTTGCTCGCCTGTCTGTGTCTTCTGCGCCAAGGGCTCTTGGTTCTCTGCCTCTTGACACACTCTCACTGTGTCTTTCCCATTCACTCTTCTGGATGTAAAAGAGGACGTAGGCCTGTTGACTCAGGACAGAAGTGATGCTAGAGGCGGTGACCTCGGCATCATCCATTTTATACCACTGGCCTTCTTGAGCTTTGACATAAGAGAAGTAATGTCCGTTGTGACAACTCCACCCAGCGTGGACCAGCACAGCATAGAGGACATAGACGAGAGGTCCTGTGTTCGGCTGAGACATGTATGGCTGCATGTCAAGGCACTCAGGATATTGCACATTCTTGGCAATCTTGTTGCCTGTGACATCGGAGAATCTCTTCAATACAAGGATGAGGACCTTGGCAGAGGTGAGTAAAGTTAACATCTTGGAGGCCGGCGCCCTCTGGAGACAAACACCACAATGATAGGCATTCTCTCCATTGAGTTCTTCGGGCTTCACCAACTGTTCCAAAGCTTGCTGGACACTCTGAGCTGCCTGGATATCCAGGGCGATGTCCAGGTAAGGGTCAAAAGTGTCTGAAATGCCGTGGCAGTGGAGACACTTGATTTGAGATCTCCAGTAGCCTCCAAATATTTGGTGGATGAGGGTGGTGTCCTTAGAGTGATGATCCACCTGCTTGTGCCCGGGAAGGCATGCCTTTTTCATGGCATCCACAGTGAACATGAGAAATTCATGGGCATCTTCCTGCTTGCCTCTATGGAAGCCAGCAGCCAATGCCTGTGAGGGCTGGATGACGTGGCCAGGATTGTGGAGGGCCCGTGTGATGTGAGCTTGCATCGTACAGAGCATGCAGCCCTTGTGACGATGACACGTTTGAGAGTGCTCCCGGGACAGCATGTAGTTGGCAAGGGGCGGTGTGTATGTCAGGCACTGCAAGGAAGCGTTCACGTAGCAGGTATTTCCCATATTCTGGAGCCCAGCCCCCACCGCAGCAGGTCTCCTGTTACTCAGAGGAAGCTTCTCCCTGGGAGCAAGCTGTCTTGCCACAGGAGCCAAATCATCACAGAGGTCGACACGGGTCTCACATGAGAGTGGTGACTTCTCAGGGAGAGAAGTCCGCTGGATTTCAGCAAAAGCTGCATCGGGCCGAGAAGATGTGAGTTTTGAAAAGTGGTTGAACTGCCACTCACCTCCCAAGTAGAGTGAGTCTTCCTCCATGTCGACTGGAACAAGGATCACAAGGTTTTTCTGCTGGGACCGCAGGTTGCAGAAAGACGCTATCCCTTCCGAGAGAGTCTTCAAATGACGAGCTCTCTGGCGCATCAGCCCTTCTGTAAGTCAACCCCACCAACCGCGAACACCCCACCCACTCATCAGGTGCGCGATAAGCCAATCAAATATCAGCACTCAATTCAGGAAGGAGTCACAGGGTGTGTCCCCTTGCATCGCTGGGAATTCAACAGACACAGCCCACAGCATGACTTCCAGAACACCTGAATCAAATTACTCCTCAGGATGATAGGCACATATAATAGGAGTGTAACCGGGTTGGGACAGTGGCCACACAGTTGCCTTATTTTAGGTAAAGCAATGGCAGGGAAGAAATCTTTACGTAGGAAACCGTGTGAGTGTGTGTGTGTGATTGTGTTCGTGTGTGTGTGTGTGGGGGGGGCGCGTGTGTGTGTGTGTTTGTGCTGGGATGAACTTCCAAGTATGTACTTTTGGCAACTGCCATCATCCTCTCAGCGACGGAAAGACAAGAAGTCGAAAGTGCGCTTTCTGACCTGAGAATAGTCAATGAAGTATAGTATTTAGCACAGCGTATTTTCTTCCCTAATGAGAAAGGAGAGATCCGTGGAATCAAACAGACCTTCCAGCGATAAGCTTTCCACGTTGAGCCTATTGATTCTCTATCTGAGTGAAATTACCTGCCAGTGGAGAACAAGACAAGTCTTTGCATGAAATGCTCTTGTGGAAGCTAGATTGCCAAATAAGAAAGCATGAAATGGTAGAAACATGCACTGAAGTTTGAAGAGATACTCAGTGCACAAAGTAGACTGTGAAAGCCTTTGGGGAAATCATGCAATCCCCGAGAGACTAATTGATGACAATCCCCAAATTTATGTTTGCCAGAAAAGAGAGACGGTCATGACACTGCATAGTGAGCGGTTTCGGACGTGCGACGGCAGTTTAAGAAAACACGAAACAAAAAACTTGAGAACTCAGAAGGTATCCCAGCTATAACCGTTTGTTTATTAAAGAATTGATGAAAATAAAAACAACGTATCTCACAGCATGTGTGATAATATTTCCATACGTATGTGATAATGGATCAACGTTTCCTAGAGGTGAAATAAAAAGTTCTAATTTGGACAAAAGCAAACAAGGAAAATTATACCGTGGAAAAGCCCGGCTGACGGAAGTGAGGCCCTGTCTCAGGGAGAAACATCGGAGACGTTTAAAAGCAGGGAGTGAAACAGAGGATAGCGTGCCATTTTTAATACTGGCCCTTGTTTCAGTGGGAAAAGGCCAAAATAAGCCGTGCATATCCTGGATTCTCGCATCGATCGTTCAGGATCGGAGATGTTGCCTCCATTTCCAGTTACGCATTGTATGGTGGAATTGCAGTTAGCACATTTGGTGCCAAAATTGTAATGCTGCCGAAAGTGGACATGTTCCCTGAAGTAAGAGGGACAGAATTTGGGTGTGTCTTCCGGCTGTCTGGCTTAGCAGGAATGAAGATCCTGGCTCTAGGGATTTTCCCAACATGTCTTAGACGGTAAGGAACAGGGCGGAATTGAGGCCCGGCGCCAAGGCCTCTAGGTGTAAAGAAACAGCCCTGGCTTCAGGGCCCATGAAATTAGGATGATTTTAAGGAGGATGATGGGATGAGAGGACTGTGACCTTTGGCCCCGTTTCTTTCCCTTGTCTTTTCATGGGCCAGGTGTGCTCCATCAGAAGGCTTCCTGTGCCGGATGTAAAGTGTCCTGGGGGAAGAAAAGAGCACTGCTTAGAAAGATGCTCCACAGGGAGAAAGGAGCCACCATTTTCAGGAGAATGATCCCCAGAAGCATGAGCAATGCAGATGCCGAGGCTTCACACAAGACCCTGGAGGGTCTTATTCCTGCAGCCGGGACCTGGGCATCGGTGTGCTTGAATGCTCATAACCGATTTTGAGGGGAGCCCAATCGATAAGCTGTCTGCCAGTCATGCTCATCACACTGTAGTTTTCACACACGTCACACGGAGACCCTGTTCGTATGCACATTTGGGTGCTTGAGCAGGGTTGCGCCCAAGATTCTGTGGTTCTACGGAGCCCTGAGTTGTGCCCTGGGCAGCTTTCCTCTGGGTTGGTCAACTTTGATCACTATACCTGACGAGAAAGGGACCATGAAGTCTAATCAGCAAATAGAGAAAAGGAAGGGGCCATTTCCCACAATCATTTCCACGGAAACACCACGTCGGATAAATAAGTCTCACTGCGGGACAGGGACTGTGCTTCAGAGATGCAGCTTTCGCAGCTGGACAAATGACCCAGAAATTCCCCAAATGCCATTTTTAAACACACCCAGTGAGATTGATTGCAGGGCTTTCTGAATTTATTTCAGTTGAATACACACACTCCTGTGTTTGCTTTCCTTTATTATCAATACAGCTTACTTCCAGATGACTTACATGCCCGTGGGAAAATTTTCCGTTTGGACTCATGGGAAGCGGGCACCGTGAAACAGGCAAGTCGGTCTGTCCGCTTCCGGCGTTATGTGGGTTCCAGCAAGAGCACAAGTCCCAGGGCGCCTGAGGTCCATTCAGGAACCAGTGTAAAAACGGCGAGCCCGGGGAAGAAAGAAGAGCACCGTTCTTCTCTTCCAAATGCATTCCAGTTTCCACTATTCAAGGTGGCGAGAATGATCCACGGATGTCCCACATGAGCCACCTTTCACCTTCTCATGCCGACCAACAACTGACGAATGAAACACACCCCAAGAGAAAATACGAAACCGAGTCCCCTGCAATTACCTCACACGCAAACCTACACGTCGGTAGGTCATATTCAGAAATACACACTGAATGTCACCTATCATGAACACAAACACTCAGACAGTCCCACCAGAGGTTCGGAAGACTCACGACCCCAAAACTTGATGTTTCCCATATGCGGGCTCATCCTGAGATGTAGCCATCACTATCCAGTTGTCCCTGTTGTAGAGACAGAAAGTTGGGCTCCTCATTAGTTTATGTAGGATTGACGGTGTTCGTGTTTGTGTGGGTGTGTGTGTGTTTGCGTGCGCGCTTCTGGGTGTAGTTATGTGTGTGTCTGTGTGTGTGCGTGTGTGTGTGCACCCCTACGTGTGGGTCGGTACTTCCACTGAGATCACTGGCACACAAGCAGAGCCCTCTTGCTGTGTTTGTTCTTCCCTTTGGATCTCCTGGCCCTCCCTCGCAGGGAAGCGAGTGTGCCAGTGTTCATGGACTCCTGATGTGTCGGGGTCGTCGAAGAGAGGTTTAGCAGGGAGCTTTGCTGTTCAGGATGATGGTTCTTCATCCCACACTTGTATTTTGATTGATGAATCACAAGTACGTCGGGAGGCAGGGTACCTTCGACTTTTCTGACGTTGAACTCAGGCTTCGTTTTGTTTTGCTCTTGAAGGAATTTCCAGTGGTCTAAGGTGCTTTCCTGAGTGGCTCTTTCCACCAAGTGCTCGTCCAACTCGGGGGCCTGGAGGCAGGGGTGGTCTCTCTTGAGCTCTCCTTGCGTTGCTCGCCTGTCTGTGTCTTCTGCGCCAAGGGCTCTTGGTTCCCTGCCTCTTGACACACTCTCACTGTGTCTTTCCCATTCACTCTTCTGGATGTAAAAGAGGACGTAGGCCTGTTGACTCAGGACAGAAGTGATGCTAGAGGCGGTGACCTCGGCATCATCCATTTTATACCACTGGCCTTCTTGAGCTTTGACATAAGAGAAGTAATGTCCGTTGTGACAACTCCACCCAGCGTGGACCAGCACAGCATAGAGGACATAGACGAGAGGTCCTGTGTTCGTCTGAGACATGTATGGCTGCATGTCAAGGCACTCAGGATATTGCACATTCTTGGCAATCTTGTTGCCTGTGACATCGGAGAATCTCTTCAATACAAGGATGAGGACCTTGGCAGAGGTGTGTAAAGTTAACGTCTTGGAGGCCGGCGCCCTCTGGAGACAAACACCACAATGATAGGCATTCTCTCCATTGAGTTCTTCGGGCTTCACCAACTGTTCCAAAGCTTGCTGGACACTCTGAGCTGCCTGGATATCCAGGGCGATGTCCAGGTAAGGGTCAAAAGTGTCTGAAATGCCGTGGCAGTGGAGACACTTGATTTGAGATCTCCAGTAGCCTCCAAATATTTGGTGGATGAGGGTGGTGTCCTTAGAGTGATGATCCACCTGCTTGTGCCCGGGAAGGCATGCCTTTTTCATGGCATCCACAGTGAACATGAGAAATTCATGGGCATCTTCCTGCTTGCCTCTATGGAAGCCAGCAGCCAATGCCTGTGAGGGCTGGATGACGTGGCCAGGATTGTGGAGGGCCCGTGTGATGTGAGCTTGCATCGTACAGAGCATGCAGCCCTTGTGACGATGACACGTTTGAGAGTGCTCCCGGGACAGCATGTAGTTGGCAAGGGGCGGTGTGTATGTCAGGCACTGCAAGGAAGCGTTCACGTAGCAGGTATTTCCCATATTCTGGAGCCCAGCCCCCACCGCAGCAGGTCTCCTGCTACTCAGAGGAAGCTTCTCCCTGGGAGCAAGCTGTCTTGCCACAGGAGCCAAATCATCACAGAGGTCGACACGGGTCTCACATGAGAGTGGTGACTTCTCAGGGAGAGAAGTCCGCTGGATTTCAGCAAAAGCTGCATCGGGCCGAGAAGATGTGAGTTTTGAAAAGTGGTTGAACTGCCACTCACCTCCCAAGTAGAGTGAGTCGTCCTCCATGTCGACTGGAACAAGGATCACAAGGTTTTTCTGCTGGGACCGCAGTTTGCAGCAAGACGCTATCCCTTCCGAGAGAGTCTTCAAATGACGAGCTCTCTGGCGCATCAGCCCTTCTGTAAGTCACCCCCACCAACCGCGAACACCCCACCCACTCATCAGGTGCGCGATAAGCCAATCAAATATCAGCACTCAATTCAGGAAGGAGTCACAGGGTGTGTCCCCTTGCATCGCTGGGTATTCAACAGACACAGCCCACAGCATGACTTCCAGAACACCTGAATCAAATTACTCCTCAGGATGATAGGCACATATAATAGGAGTGTAACCGGGTTGGGACAGTGGCCACACAGTTGCCTTATTTTAGGTAAAGCAATGGCAGGGAAGAAATCTTTACGTAGGAAACCGTGTGAGTGTGTGTGTGTGATTGTGTTCGTGTGTGTGTGTGTGGGGGGGGCGCGTGTGTGTGTGTGTTTGTGCTGGGATGAACCTCCAAGTATGTACTTTTGGCAGCTGCCATCATCCTCTCAGCGACGGAAGGACAAGAAGTCGAAAGTGCGCTTTCTGACCTGAGAATAGTCAATGAAGTATAGTATTTAGCACAGCGTATTTTCTTCCCTAATGAGAAAGGAGAGATCCGTGGAATCAAACAGACCTTCCAGCGATAACCTTTCCACGTTGAGCCTATTGATTCTCTGTCCAAGTGAAATTACCTGCCAGTGGAGAAGAAGACAAGTCTTTGCATGAAATGCTCTTGTGGAAGCTAGATTGCCAAATAATAAAGCATCAAATGGTAGAAACATGCACTGAAGTTTGAAGAGATACTCAGTGCACAAAGTAGACTGTGAAAGCCTTTGGGGAAATCATGCAATCCCCGAGAGACTAATTGATGACAATCCCCAAATTTATGTTTGCCAGAAAAGAGAGACGGTCATGACACTGCATAGTGAGCGGTTTCGGACGTGCGACGGCAGTTTAAGAAAACACGAAACAAAAAACTTGAGAACTCAGAAGGTATCCCAGCTATAACCGTTTGTTTATTAAAGAATTGATGAAAATAAAAACAACGTATCTCACAGCATGTGTGATAATATTTCCATACGTATGTGATAATGGATCAACGTTTCCTAGAGGTGAAATAAAAAGTTCTAATTTGGACAAAAGCAAACAAGGAAAATTATACCGTAGAAAAGCCCGGCTGACGGAAGTGAGGCCCTGTCTCAGGGAGAAACATCGGAGACGTTTAAAAGCAGGGAGTGAAACAGAGGATAGCGTGCCATTTTTAATACTGGCCCTTGTTTCAGTGGGAAAAGGCCAAAATAAGCCGTGCATATCCTGGATTCTCGCATCGATCGTTCAGGATCGGAGATGTTGCCTCCATTTCCAGTTACGCATTGTATGGTGGAATTGCAGTTAGCACATTTGGTGCCAAAATTGTAATGCTGCCGAAAGTGGACATGTTCCCTGAAGTAAGAGGGACAGAATTTGGGTGTGTCTTCCGGCTGTCTGGCTTAGCAGGAATGAAGATCCTGGCTCTAGGGATTTTCCCAACATGTCTTAGACGGTAAGGAACAGGGCGGAATTGAGGCCCGGCGCCAAGGCCTCTAGGTGTAAAGAAACAGCCCTGGCTTCAGGGCCCATGAAATTAGGATGATTTTAAGGAGGATGATGGGATGAGAGGACTGTGACCTTTGGCCCCGTTTCTTTCCCTTGTCTTTTCATGGGCCAGGTGTGCTCCATCAGAAGGCTTCCTGTGCCGGATGTAAAGTGTCCTGGGGGAAGAAAAGAGCACTGCTTAGAAAGATGCTCCACAGGGAGAAAGGAGCCACCATTTTCAGGAGAATGATCCCCAGAAGCATGAGCAATGCAGATGCCGAGGCTTCACACAAGACCCTGGAGGGTCTTATTCCTGCAGCCGGGACCTGGGCATCGGTGTGCTTGAATGCTCATAACCGATTTTGAGGGGAGCCCAATCGATAAGCTGTCTGCCAGTCATGCTCATCACACTGTAGTTTTCACACACGTCACACGGAGACCCTGTTCGTATGCACATTTGGGTGCTTGAGCAGGGTTGCTCCCAAGATTCTGTGGTTCTATGGAGCCCTGAGTTGTGCCCTGGGCAGCTTTCCTCTGGGGTTGGTCAACTTTGATCACTGTACCTGACGAGAAAGGGACCATGAAGTCTAGTCAGCAAATAGAGAAAAGGAAGGGGCCATTTCCCACAATCATTTCCACGGAAACACCACGTCGGATAAATAAGTCTCACTGCGGGACAGGGACTGTGCTTCAGAGATGCAGCTTTCGCAGCTGGACAAATGACCCAGAAATTCCCCAAATGCCATTTTTAAACACACCCAGTGAGATTGATTTCAGGGCTTTCTGAATTTATTTCTGTTGAATACACACACTCCTGTGTTTGCTTTCCTTTATTATCAATACAGCTTACTTCCAGATGACTTACATGCCCGTGGGAAAATTTTCCGTTTGGACTCATGGGAAGCGGGCACCGTGAAACAGGCAAGTCGGTCTGTCTGCTTCCGGCGTTATGTGGGTTCCAGCAAGAGCACAAGTCCCAGGGCGCCTGAGGTCCATTCAGGAACTAGTGTAAAAACGGCGAGCCCGGGGAAGAAAGAAGAGCACCGTTCTTCTCTTCCAAATGCATTCCAGTTTCCACTATTCAAGGTGGCGAGAATGATCCACGGATGTCCCACATGAGCCAAATTTCACCTTCTCGTGCCGACCAACAACTGTCGAATGAAACACACCCCAAGAGAAAATACGAAACCGAGTCCCCTGCAATTACCTCACACGCAAACCTACACGTCGGTAGGTCATATTCATAAATACACACTGAATGTCACCTATCATGAACACAAACACTCAGACAGTCCCTCCAGAGGTTCGGAAGACTCACGACCCCAAAACTTGATGTTTCCCATATGCGGGCTCATCCTGAGATGTAGCCATCTCTATCCAGTTGTCCCTGTTGTACAGACAGAAACTTGGGCTCCTCATTAGTTTATGTAGGATTGACGGTGTTCGTGTTTGTGTGGGTGTGTGTGTGTTTGCGTGCGCGCTTCTGGGTGTAGTTATGTGTGTGTGTGTGTGTGTGTGTGTGTGTATGCACCCCTACGTGTGGGTCGGTACTTCCACTGAGATCACTGGCACACAAGCAGAGCCCTCTTGCTGTGTTTGTTCTTCCCTTTGGATCTCCTGGTCCTCCCTCGTAGGGAAGCGAGTGTGCCAGTGTTCATGGACTCCTGATCTGTCGGGGTCGTCGAAGAGAGGTTTAGCAGGGAGCTTTGCTGTTCAGGATGATGGTTCTTCATCCGACACTTGTATTTTGATTGATGAATCACAAGTACGTCGGGAGGCACCGTACCTTCGACTCTTCTGACGTTGAACTCAGGCTTCGTTTTGTTTTGCTCTTGAAGGAATTTCCAGTGGTCTAAGGTGCTTTCCTGAGTGGCTCTTTCCACCAAGTGCTCGTCCAACTCGGGGGCCTGGAGGCAGGGGTGGTCTCTCTTGAGCTCTCCTTGCGTTGCTCGCCTGTCTGTGTCTTCTACGCCAAGGGCTCTTGGTTCCCTGCCTCTTGACACACTCTCACTGTGTCTTTCCCATTCACTCTTCTGGATGTAAAAGAGGACGTAGGCCTGTTGACTCAGGACAGAAGTGATGCTAGAGGCGGTGACCTCGGCATCATCCATTTTATACCACTGGCCTTCTTGAGCTTTGACATAAGAGGAGTAATGTCCGTTGTGACAACTCCACCCAGCGTGGACCAGCACAGCATAGAGGACATAGACGAGAGGTCCTGTGTTCTGCTGAGACATGTATGGCTGCATGTCAAGGCACTCAGGATATTGCACATTCTTGGCAATTTTGTTGCCTGTGACATCGGGGAATCTCTTCAATACAAGGATGAGGACCTTGGCAGAGTTGTGTAAAGTTAACGTCTTGGAGGCCGGCGCCCTCTGGAGACAAACACCACAATGATAGGCATTCTCTCCATTGAGTTCTTCGGGCTTCACCAACTGTTCCAAAGCTTGCTGGACACTCTGAGCTGCCTGGATATCCAGGGCGATGTCCAGGTAAGGGTCAAAAGTGTCTGAAATGCCGTGGCAGTGGAGACACTTGATTTGAGATCTCCAGTAGCCTCCAAATATTTGGTGGATGAGGGTGGTGTCCTTAGAGTGACGATCTACCTGCTTGTGCCCGGGAAGGCATGCCTTTCTCATGGCATCCACAGTGAACATGAGAAATTCATGGGCATCTTCCTGCTTGCCTCTATGGAAGCCAGCAGCCAATGCCTGTGAGGGCTGGATGACATGGCCAGGAATGTGGAGGGCCCTTGTGATGTGAGCTTGCATAGTACAGAGCATGCAGCCCTTGTGACGATGACACGTTTGAGAGTGCTCCCGGAACAGCATGTAGTTGGCAAGTGGCGGTTTGTATGTCAGGCACTGCAGGGAAGCGTTCACGTAGCAGGTATTTCCCATATTCTGGAGCCCAGCCCCCACCGCAGCAGGTCTCCTGCTACTCAGAGGAGGCTTCTCCCTGGGAGCAAGCTGTCTTGCCACAGGAGCCAAATCATCACAGAGGTCGACACGGGTCTCACATGAGAGTGGTGACTTCTCAGGGAGAGAAGTACGCTGGATTTCAGCAAAAGCTGCATCTGGCCGAGAAGATGTGAGTTTTGAAAAGTGGTTGAACTGCCACTCACCTCCCAAGTAGAGTGAGTCGTCCTCCATGTCGACTGGAACAAGGATCACAAGGTTTTTCTGCTGGGACCGCAGGTTGCAGAAAGACGCTATCTCTTCCGAGAGAGTCTTCAAATGACGAGCTCTCTGGCCGCATCAGCCCTTCTATAACTCACCCACACCAACCGCGAACACCCCACCCACTCATCAGGTGCGCGATTAGCCAATCAAATATCAGCACTCAATTCAGGAAGGAGTCACAGGGTGTGTCCCCTTGCATCGCTGGGAATTCAACAGACACAGCCCACATCATGACTTCCAGAACACCTGAATCAGATTACTCCTCAGGATGATAAGCACATATAATAGGAGTGTAACCGGGTTGGGACAGTGGCCACACAGTTGCCTTATTTTAGGTAAAGCAATGGCAGGGAAGAAATCTTTACCTTGGAAACCGTGTGTGTGTGTGTGTGTGTGAGTGTGTTTGTGTGTGTGGGGGGGGGCGTGTGTGTATGTGTGTTTGTGCTGGGATGAACTTCCAAGTATGTACTTTTGGCAGCTACCATCATCCTCTCAGTGACCGAAGGACAAGAATTCGGAAGTGTGCTTTCTGACCTGAGAATAGTCAATGAAGTATAATATTTAGCACAGCGTATTTTCTTCCCTAATGAGAAAGGAGAGATCCGTGGAATCAAACAGACCTTCCAGCGATAACCTTTCCACGTTGAGCCTATTGATTCTCTATCCGTGTTGAATTACTTGCCAGTGGACAACAAGACAAGTGTTTGCATGAAATGCTCTTGTGGAAGCTAGATTGCCAAATGATAAAGCATCATATGGTAGAAAGAAGCACTGAAGTTTGAAGAGATACTCAGTGCACAATGTAGACTGTGTAGGACTTTGTGGAATCATGCAATCAGCGGGAGACTATTTGATGACATTCCCCAAATTTGTGTTTGCCCGAAAATGTAGATTGTCACGACATTGTATAGTGAGTAGTTTCTGACGTCCGACGGCAGTTTAAGAAAATATGAAAGAAAAATCTTGAGAAATCAGAAGGTATCCCAACTATACCCTTTTTTTTCTTGAAGTGATGAAAATAAAAACAACGTATCTGACACCGTGGGTGATAATATTTCCATGTGTATGTGATAATGGATCAACATTTCATAGAGACGAAATAAAATGTTCTAAGGTTGACAAAAGCAAACACTGAAAATTATACTCTAGATAGCCCGGCGGACGGCAGTGAGGCCCTGTCTCAAGAAGAAACATCGGAGACGTTTAAAAGCAGGGAGTGAAACAGAGTATAGCATACCATTTTTAATACTGGTCCTTGTTTCAGTGGGAAAAGGCCAAAATAAGCCGTGTGTCTCCTGGATTCTCGCTTTGATTGTTCATGATCTGGGATTTTCCCTCCATTTCCAGTTATGCATTGTATGGTGGAATTCCAGTTAGCACATTTGGTGCAAAAATTTTAATTCTGACGAAAGTGGACACGTTCCCTGAATTAAGAGGGACAGAATTTTGGTGTGTCTTCATTCTGTCTGCCTTACCAGGAATGAAGATCCTGGCTCTTGGGACTTTCCCAACATGTCTTAGAGAGTAAGCAACAGGGCAGAATTGAGGCCCGGCGCCAAGGCCTCTAGGTGTAAAGAAACAGCCCTGGCTTCAGGACCCATGAAATTAGGATGATTTTAAGGAGTATGATGGAATGAGAGGAGTGTGACCTTTGGCCCCATTTCTTTCCCTTGTCTTTTCATGGGCCAGGTGTGCTCCATCAGAAAGCTTCCTGTGCCTGATGTAAAGTTTCCTGTGGGAAGAAAGGAGCACTGCTTAGAAAGATGCTACACAGGGAGAAAGCAGCCACGATTTTCAGGAAAATGATCCCCAGAAGCATGAGCAATCCAGATGCCGTGGCTTCCCACAGGGTGTGCGAGAGTCTTATCGTTTTAACCGGGAACTAGGCATTGGTGTCCTTTAATGCTCATAACAGCTTTTGAGGGGAGCCGAATTGATATCCTGCCTGCGTGTCATGCTCATTGCACTGTAGTTCACACACATGTCACACAGAAACACTCTGAATAAGCACATTTTTGTTCTTGAGCAATGTTGCCCCCAAAATTCTGTGGTTCTACGGAGCCCTGAGTTCTGTCCTGGACCTCTCTACTCTTGTGTAGATCAACTTTGATCTCTGTACCTAATGAGAAATGGACTATGAAATCTAATCAGCAAATATACAAAAGTACGGGTCCATTCTCCACAGTTGTGTCTCTCCGGTAGGTCATCTTTGATAACTGTACCTAACAAAAAATGCATATGTGATGATTCCAAATCAAATAATCTCTTGGTTTTTCGCCATTTTATTTAATTCTGTTAACGTTTAAATAGAGTTTAAAACCCAAGATTTGGCATGAAATTTTATCTTCAAATAACAAAAGGAAGGATTCATTCTTCAAAATCTTTTCCACTGGAAGACCACCACTGATAAACAAGTGTCATTGCATTACAGGGATCCTGCTTCCAAGATGCAACTTTCACAGCTGGATGATTGACCCAGAATCTCCTCTAATGTCATTTTTTTACCTCCAAAATGTGATTTATTTCAGGGCTTTCTGATTTTATTTTAGTTGAATACACCCACTCTTGTGTTTCAATTTCTTTGAAACACCTTTAAATAATTAAGTATCTTGCTGCATCAGCCCTTATATAATTACTGTCCACTCACCGAGACCATTACATTTATCCATCAATTACCCTATTTACGAATGAAATATCAGGATTCAATTAAGTTTTTTGTCTTAGGTTGTATCCTCTTGCATTCCTCAGAGAATTTAATGGACACAGCTTACATTGTGATTATGGAAGAGTTGAAGCAGATTTACTTGTCAGTATTACGGGCAAATATGATAGAAGTGGAACCGGGTTAGGATAGGGCTAAACATTTGCCTTATTTCATGTAAAACAATGCTAGTTAACAATTGTGTACATGTTAAACAGTTTGTGTGTATGTGTGTATTTGTGTGTTTGTTTCTGGATGTGTGTGTATGCTTTGAGAAGTACTTCCAAGCATGTGCATCTGTGAGATAAGATCATTCTTTCAGCGACTAAATGACAAGAAGTTATAACTACACTTTCTGACTTGAGAATTTGCAGCAATGTTATGTAATTAATACAGCATATTCTTTGTCTTAATTAAGATGGAGAGATCAATGGAGTCAAATAGACATTCCAGAGATAACCTTCCCATTTTTGGCCAGTTGATTCCATATCATGTTGTAATGATCTGGCATTGGGGAGAAGACAAGTCTTTGCATGAAATTGTCTTTTGGAAGCAAGATATGCAAATAATAAAGCATCAAATGTACTATTCCCCTCAATAGTGAATGTAGAAACATTCACTTAAGTTTGATGAAATTCTCAGTGCCCAAAATAGATTGTGAAACACTTTCAAGAAAACATGCTATAACCCAGAGACTAATTGATGACATCCACCGAAGTTATGACTGCAAGAAAAGAGAAATATTCATGGCATTTTTAATCCAAGGGTTTCTTGTATATGACAGCATTTTTTAAAAAGTCAAAATCAGAAAAGCTTCACAAATTGGAAGATATCTAAGCTAAAACCTTTTGTTTCTTAAAGGAACGATGAAAATAATTGCAATGTAACACACGGCATGTGTGATAATGTTTTAATACATATCTAAAAATGCCTTAAAATTCAATAGAAATAAAATAACAACTTCTAAAACTTGACAAAAGGAAACAACAAAAATTACACACTGGAAAAGCCTGGCTGACTGGAGTGACATCCTGTCTCAAGAAGGAACAGACAAACACACAAACAAGCAAAGGATTCTAAAAGCAGGGAATCAAACAGATACTTATACACCATTCTTCCTACTAGCCCTCTTCATAGTAGGAAAAGGCAAAAACAACCCAAATGTGTGGCGAATCACTTCATCAGTTTTTTAAGATCTGAAATACTGCCTCAATTTTCAGTTACTCATTGTGGGGAGAACCTGCAGTTACCACATTTGTTCCAAAATTTTATGCTGATGAAGGTAAACCTGTCCGGCATTCTCAGAGGGACAGAATTCTGGTGTTTCTCCAGGTTCCTTGGCTTACCAGGAATGAAGATCCGAGCTGTATAGACGTTTTTCAAAAGTATGTACATACGTATGTATGTATGTATGCATGTATGTATGTATGTATGTGTTTCCTCTTTTTAATTTTAAAAATTACAGGATACATGTGCAGAATGAGCAGGTTTGTTATATAGGTATCCTTTGCTATGGTGGTTTGTTGCACCTATTGACTTATCCTGTAAGTTTCCTTCCCTCACCCCCAGCCCTCAACGGGCCGTGTTGTGTGTTGTTCCTCTCACTGTGTCCTTGTTTCCTCAATGTTCAACTTTCACTTATTAGTGAGAACATGCGGTATTTGCTTTTTTTTTGTTCCTGTGTTAGTTTGCTCAGTATGATGGCTTCCAGCTTCATCCATGTGCCTGCAAAAGACATGATCTCATTCCTTTTTATGACTGCATAGTATTTTTTGGTGTATATGTACCACATTTTCTTTATCCAGTCTAGCACTGAAGGGCATTTGGGTTGGTTTCATGTCTTTCCTATTGTATATAGTGCTACAATAAACATACGTGTGCCTGTGTCTTTATAGTGGAATGATTTATATTTCTTTGGGTACATAGCCAGTAATGGGATTGCTGGGTCAAATGGTATTTCTGGTTCTAGATCCTTGAGGAATCGACATGCTGTCTTCCACAATGGTTGAACTAATTTACAGTTTCACCAACAGTGTAAAAGCGTTCCTCTTTCTTCTCAGCCTCACCAGCATCTATTGTTTCTTAATTTTTTAATAGTCACCATTCTGACGGGTGTGAGATGGTATCTCACTGTAATTTTGATTTTCATTTCTCTGATGATCAGTGTTGTTGAGCTTTTTAAAAATATATTTGTTGGTTGCATAAATGTCTTCTTTTGATAAGTTTCTGTTCATATGTTTTGCTCACATTTGATGGGGTTGTTTGTTTTTTCGCTTGTAAATATGTTTCAGTTCCTTGTCAACTTTGGTTATTAGACCTTTGTCAGATGGGCAGATTGCAACAATTTTCTCCCATTCTGTAGGTTGCTTTTTCATGCTGATGATAGTTTCTTTGCTGTGCAGAAGGTCTTTAGTTTAATTAGATCCAATTTGTCAATTTTGGCTTTTGTTGCAATTGCTTTTGGCATTTTTGTCATGAAGTCTTTGCCCATGCCTATGTCCTGAATGGTATTGCTTAAGTTTTCTTCTAGGGTTTTTATGGTTTTGGATTTTACATTTAAGTCTTTAATCCATCTTGAGTTAATTTTTGTATAAGGTGTAAGGAAGTGGCCCAGTTTTGGTTTTCTGCCTATGGCAAGCCAGTTTTCCCAGCAGCATTTACTGAATAGGAGATCCTTTCTCCCTTGCCTGTTTTTGTCAGGTTTGTCAAAGATCACACGGTCGTAGACGTGTGGTGTTATTTCTGAGGTCTTTGTTCTGTTCCATTGGTCTATATGTCTGTTTTGGCAGCAGTAGCATGCTGTTTTGGTTACTGTAGCCTTCTAGTATGGTTTGAAGTTAGGTAGCGTCATGCCTCCTGCTTTGTTATTTTTGCTTACAATTGTCTTGGCTATATGGGGTATTCTTTGATTTCATATGAAATTTAAAATAGTTCTTTCTAATTCTGTGAAAAATGTCAATGGTAGCTTGATGGGTATAGCATTGAATCTATAAATTAGTTTGGGCAGTATGGCCATTTTCACAATATTGATTCTTCCTATTCATGAGGATGGAATGTTTTTTCCATTCGTTTGTGTCCTCTCTTATTTCCTTGACCAGTGGTTTGCAGTTGTCCTTGAAGAGGTCCTTCACATCCCCTGTACTCCTAGCTGTATCCCTAGCTATTTTATTCTCTTTCTAGCAATTGTGAATGGGAGTTCATTCTTGATTTGGCTCTCTGCTTGACTATTGTTGATGTAAAGGAATGCTTGTGATTTTTGCACAATGATTTAATATCTTGAGACCTTGGTGAAGTTGCTTATCAGTTCAATAAGTTTTTGAATTGAGATGATGGGGTTTTCTAAATATAAAGTCATGTCATCTGCAAACAGAGACAACTTCACTTTCTCTCTTCCTATTTGAATACCCTTTATTTCTTTCTCTTGCCTGATAGCCCTGGTGAGAACTTCCAATACTATGTTGAATAGAAGCGGTTACAGAGGGCATCCTTGTCTTGTACCAGTTTTCAAAGGGAATGCTTCCAGCTTTTGCCTGTTCAATATGATGTTGGCTGTGGGTTTGTTATAAATAGCTCTTATTATTTTGCAATATGTTCCATCAGTACCTAGTTTACTGAGAGTTTTTAACATGAAGGGATGCTGAATTTTATCAAAGGCATTTTTCCATCTATTGAAATAATTGTCTGGTTTTTGTCTTTTGTTCTGTTTATGTGATCAATTACATTTATTCTTTTGTGTATGTTGAACCAGCCTTTCATCCCAAAGATGCAGCCGACTTGATTGTGATGGATAAGCTTTTTGATGTGCTGCTGGATTCTGTTTGCTAGTATTTTATTAGGAATTTTTGCATTGATGTTGTCAGGGATATTGGCCTGGATTGAGCAGGTATGTATGTCTGTGTGTTTCTACCTTGGTTTGCCAGTAGGTTGATGTGTGAGTTTGTGTGACTTTGTGTGTGTGTGTTTGTGTGTGTGTGTGTGAATATGCGATAGAGAGCCAAACTAGAGCAGAGGAGGTTCCCTGGCCTGCCATGACATTAAATGTTCTGAATTCAAGATACCAAGAGAGGCATGAGACCCACAGTTGAAACTTCATGATGTGGCCAGGTTTCAGGGGTTTCTGGGAGCTGCCAGTGGGCATGTCTCAGGCTTGCTCCCACTGACAATCCATGTCTTCTCTCTAAATGGGAGATGGCTCTGTATGGAGAATAGACAACTTAGAGCATGATGTAAGGGTTCTTCCTCATACTCACTAGGAAAGGAAACAGTTTTCGTCATCTCTCACTCCATTCCCATTGTAAATCTATAGACACAGGGGTCAGTTACTTGAAATATTAGCATAGCTAAAGTCCTCAGACCAAATTAGATGTCCTACCTTCTCATGTGGATCAGATCTTAAAAAAACAACTACTTCCTGTGGTCATTATCTTTTATCACAGGACATTTTCAATCCAGAGGAAGACCTTCTAAAAGAGGTGATGGGTGGGAGAGTGCTGACATACTATGTGAAGCTACTATTTGGAGTTGGACAGTAGTGCATGTGACTTTGTGTCACAGCGGGAATGTGAGCTGGATGACAAATGGAGATTTGGACTTGTGATAATTGGCCTCTGTGTCATTGTGTGGAAGACTGACTGGTCCCTTTATTTCCTGTAGCTTGACTACCACACAAATGAATCCATTCAAATGTTGGCAAGTGGAGCAGAGTCCCAGGACAGGTAAGGCACTTTCCCTGCTTTTTCTTAAGATCAATCCCCATGCGTAGAAATTAAAGTCACATCCCACACGATCATTAAAGTAGAGAGTGCATTCTGCAGGATGAGTGAAAAGGCATTTATGATTCTTGGGGGCAGATGTTCTACAGTTGCCTGTGCTAGTTCATGTATTTCTGCAGATCACATTCTTAACCTCTAGAGAGTCTGGCATGACCAGAGCCTTACCTTTCCCAGTCTGCAATCTCTACAGGTACAGAAACACCCCCAGTTCAAGGATCTTCACACCTGGATTTAGGCCTACACCTGCAACTACCCCAGGTAAGTTTCCTTGTTCTTCAATGGCAAAGTTTGGACAATGCTGTTCAAACTCCAGGCAACAAGCAACATCTAGGGAATGTGCTTTTAGGTAGGGTCAGCATAGCATCCCACTCTGGGAGACATTTCCCAGATGTTATTACTATCATTAAGATGGTTTATTAATGTTATTATTCAGTAATAAATGTTTAGTTTCTCCATTCACTCAGTTTGGAGTGGCTTGCAGTTCCCTATGCAGATCCAATGCATCTTTTGCTTTTTTGCTTCTACAACCTGGAATTTATATGTTCAAGATGGAGCCATCTCAGCCATGACAACAGAGAATGTACCACTCTCACGTGAGGAAGAGGGGTAGGCAGTGCTCCTGTATCACTAGCCCTTAATGAGACCCTGAGGAAACCACATCATGGAGATCAGCCCTTCTCTCCTGTAAGGAACTCATCCTATGAAAGAGCAATTGGTGGCTGCAAGAGCTGTCTCTGGGACAGCTGTTCATGTCTATATCTGCAGGGTAACCCTCATAGTCATATGCAGTCATATCCATAGTCATATCTGGAGTCAGTCTGCAGCTTGACTGAGTGAATGGAGAAACTAAACATTTATTACTGAATAATAACATTAATAAACCATCTTAATTATAGTAATAATAAACATATTGATGAGTATTAAAAGGAATGATGATGATTATTATGATACTAATATCCATAATTAATAATTTTAATATTGATAATACTACTAACCCTGTGGACTTGGGACCTAAAGAGCAGTTTCCCCTGACAATTATCCCATATTTGGCCACAGGGGGTAATATTAAGTTCCAGAAGGCAAAGATTAACATTCAGAAAAATAGGAAAAACAACCTGCAGGTAGGCATGTGCACACATGGGGACTCTATGGATAAATACTAAAGTGACTCTTGTTCTGGATCTCCATGCTAACAAACATGCACCAGCTTTCAGGAGGTAGGACAGCTGGCTGATGGGGCAAGGCTTCTTGAGGACATGGCAGGAGTCAGAAATCACACATGCTGCCCAGAAGCAGAGCTCATGACAAGCAGTAAACCCCAGCGAAAGGACCTGGCTGCCCTTCTGCCATCTGCTCTCCCATGGCCTCTCTTGACTGGTACATCTAGGCACTGGAGTAACCTTCACTGGCTATAGGAGGGCATAATCCTCAGTATTCTCCCACCTGCAAGAAAGACAAAAATTAACTGAATACCATGGCTTCTGGGTATCCTTAGTGGGCTTAGCGTACTTTGCGTTTGCTTTAACAGGCCAGTTATCCAGGCAGTGACTTTCTGTACAGCTACAGTCACCTCTGGACACCTGCGGAGACTTTAAAAATTTCCAGAAGGTCAGGAATTTGTGGAGACCTTTCTCATGGCTACGTTGCTTGCAAAGGTGAATCAATAAGCTTCTGAACTGACTTAGAAAATGTTGCAGTCTCTTGTGAACAGATAGACCCTCTCCTGCCACTCCAGATACACATATCTGGGTCACACACACACCTGATTTAACAACATCTCATTATCTCAGGTGGGCAACAGACAGCAATTTAGGACTTATCCCAGTGTGGATGAGAGATATTGAGTTGGCTTTGAAAAATGTTAAATAGACTAGATGGGGCAAGAAAGCCCATTCTGGGGCTCAAAAGCCTGCACACAGAGTTGCTGGCACATAAAGGGTATGTATAAATTCTTTCTCAGCCCATGAGATCAGGATGTACTTCATCAGTATACCATGCTGGTACGAAGAGATTATTGCCTCCAAAGGGACTCAGAATATTTCAGGGAACCTGTATTAGTCCATTTTTACACTGTTGTAAAGACAGTACCCCACACTGGGTAATTCACAAAGGGAAGATGTTTAATTAATTCACAGTTCTGTATCGCTGGGGAGGCCTCAGGAAACTTACAGTCATGGTGGAAGGCAAGACAGAAGCAGGCACCTTTTTTCACAAGGTGGCAGGAGAGAGAAGTGAGTGCACAGAAAAAAAAACCTCCTACTTTTAAAACCATCAGATCTCCTAAGAATTCACTCACTATCATGAGGATAGCATGAAGTAAACTTCTTTGATACATGGCGATTACAGGTCCCTCTGTCGATGTGTGGGGATAATAATTTGAGATGAGGTTTGGGTGGGGACACAGAGCCAAACCATATTATTCTGCTCCTGGCACCTCCCAAATCTCATGTCTTTTATATATATTTCAAAACCAATCATGCTTTCCCAACAGTCCCCGAAAGTCTTAACTGATTCCAGCATAACTCAAAACTCCAAGTCCAAAGTCTTATTTGAGACAAGTCCCTTCTGCCTATCAGCCTATAAAATTAAAAAAAAAAAAAGTTAGTTACATAAACAATGGGGACCTCATGACCCTGATCAGTGCCCTATCCTACTGTGGCTCAACTGATATCCAAGATGCAAGACAAAGTCCTTTTTACTCTTTCCTCTAATCTCCTCTAGCAGAAGGAAGCGGTCTTTTTTGGAGCTGCAAGCTGTGCTGCCTGGGGTTGGGGGAGTGGTAAAGCAAGTACTCCTCTAGCTGTCCTGGCTGGTGTCTCAGTAGGTTTTATGGCCACTCACCTCAGTACACTGGCTGTGATTACAGTACTATTGTGTCTGCAGTAGTGTATGATATGGAAAATAAGTGTCCATTCTCCAAGACTCTTCTTGAGCATCAAGGCTGCCTGATAGTTGAGATATAGCTACAGACTTTCCTCGCTGAGCCTAGCATGCACATGTTCCTCTGCTGGAAAAAAACAAAAACAAACAAACCACCAAACAACTTCCCACAAGTGGAATATTCTGGGACTCAAGGCCATCTAGATTATTTTGTCCCCAGGGTGCTCACTTGATGTGGTGTGCTTCCTCTTTCCTCAGAGTAGGAGGCCCTGAAATTCAGATTACTGCATATGCTGCTGCTGCTTCTCTGGGTCTAGCTACCCAGTCGGGCTGCCGCACACCAGGCTGATGCTCAAGAATGTCTGCAATGGATCCAGTGATATAATCTGTCTTCAAGTCTCACAGCAGTGTGTATCATCAGCTGATCAGATGGGGATGGCAGGGGAGTGATGTAGACTCTGAAAGATTCCTTGGTTATAAATAGTCCTAGTGTGTTGTGTATTGGATTTCTCAAATGCCAGTTGTAGTAGTAATGAACTCATCACATGGAGAGACTCAGGGCCTCCTGCTTAGCCAGAATGATACAAGCAATGGTAACAGTTGTGGTCACTCACAACTTTTCTCCTTCCTGGGTGCTATGTTATTCTACCTGCAGATGCTGTAAAGGACTGTCAGTAGGCCTTCAGCCAGGAGGTGGTGCTTCCAAAAGACTGCCAGCTGTGGTGGTAGTGGTGAGATTTGGACTTGCCTTATGTTACACAGGGGAGGCACTCTGGTGTCTCAGGAAATAGGTGAAGCCATAGAGCTTCTAAAAGTTTCTTCTGTTATTTGTGTTAATCTACCAGGGTAGGTGGTTGAGCAAAGCCAGTTGGGAACTAGGCCAGGTAAGGTGATGCTCTGGCTCTCTATGTGTGGGACAAGCAGTGGCTCCAGTGGGAATTGGAAGGCAGTTCTTGGGCCACTGGAGTAATTTTCCAGAGAGAAGTGAAGCTGTCTCTGCCTCTGTACAAGGAGAGTCCATATGAAGAATGGGGAGTAGCAGCTTGGTAGTAAGCCCCATCCAGCTCCCACACACTTGGCAAGGCAGGTCTCACACCCACAGTGTTCCACTGGGAGTAGCTAGCTAAGTTTCAAGAAGTCTGAGCTCAGAACTCAAAACTGACCCATACCATAAGTCTCCCCTATGGAGACAGCAACTGCAACCTTCAGGCCACACCCTTCCTGATCCACCTGCAGAGCAGGGGCCCCCAGCTCCTGTGCTTGCTGCTGCAGCACACTTCCCACTCACCTCTCAGTTCCGGCCTGGGGAGTTTGTCCCCAGTCAAGATTATATCACACATTTCAGTTGGGAGGTTGTCTCAACCTGTGACCACCATCTGACTTAGCTGGCAGACTTCTAGGAGGTCCTGTCTGAGGTAGAATCAGAACTGGCTTCCCTCCATTCTACCAGAAACGGGGAATGTGCTGGAGATTCAAAGCACATCCCAATGCCACTCCTCATATACTCACCACTTTTCCCTAAATCAGCTCCAGCGCTGAGTAGGGTTAAGGCCTTCCCTCACGGCCTGGATTGATAGGTTTCCCAGTGGAAGTGTATATCTTAGAGTCAGTTTACCCTCCTGTCACACCCTGGAAACTTACAATTTTCTGCCTAGCTTATGGTGTAAGCTGCATCCTGCTGTTTCTTTCAAATGGTCTGTGGCTTATTTCAATTTTCCTGTTAAATTCCTGTGTTGCTTCTTGAAAGAAAGTTCACAGTGTGAGTCTCTACACACCATTTTGTCTTTCCAAGTGCAAGAGGCAGACTAACAATGCCTTCAATCCACCATCAATCCACCATCTTGGAAAACAAAAGTAACAGTTTTCTCATTTTTAAAAGTTTTGTTAAGATCTGTTAATGACTCACAAAGAAATAGTACTTGGGTATATTTGAAATTAGGATTTATTCATTTATGTTGATAAGTGAAAATGCAAGATGGTTATCAAGATGGAAGTACTTAATATGTATATTTTAATATTCTTAGATGCAAATAACTTCACTTTTGATGTATTTTTATTTTGTCTCAGTTTCATTTCAACTTAGGTTTAAGGGGTTCTTGATAATCTGACATGATAAGTGGTGTTGGAATTGGCATTAAAATCCACCATGCTCTACAGCACTTCATCTTTCTTCGGCAGGCACCAATTTGATCTTCTACTACTTTGCAGACATCTCTTCGGCAAACACCAGACAAATTGAGACAATGACCTTCCGCAGGACCCAAACCACCCTTACTGCAGGAAAGAAGATCCAGTGAGATAGTTAGTCCACAAATGGAATGTAAATCCATAAACACTCTTAAGTAACAGAATAAATTTAGTATTAACGTTTTTATGTGGGAGCTCTTGAAATGGTTGCTGCTCATATGTCAAAGACACATGCAGTTTAAGAAAGGTGGCAGTTCCAATCCTGGTTTGTCCCAACAGTCACTGCATTTTTGGTGGGGAAAAGGGATGTGAGAGGAGATGGTACATCTTCATCTTTTTCTCTGGGTTTTCTGTCAGAAAGGGATGTTGCTTACTCCAGTGGCAAAAAATGCCAGTGTCTTCTGCCAGAGTGGGTTACTGAGGGCCCTGGTGGTTCCACCTTGTGGCTGATACAGATAGTCCCTTTCTGCTTTTGTTTCTAGCCAAAAAAGATGTTTCTGGCATCTCAGGTATGCTGATTTCAGCAGCTGTTTTTTCTATATGGCTATTTTTTTTTTCTTTCACTCTCTCTTTCTCTCTCTCTCTCTTTTTTTTTTTTTTTTTTTGGCTTCACTGTGTTGCCATAGTTTCTTAAATGGTCCCTTGAACACACCCAGGGCTATTTTGGTTTGTACATAACTATCTATATATTTTTTTCTTGGGGGGAGGGTGTAGAGCTAAAGGCTTGTGTATCCTGCTCCTGTTCCCCAAAAGTGGCTTTATTCCCCCAAGCTAATATTTCAGGCTTTCAATTTATTCACGCTTTCATCTGTTTAAACATAAGTAGAAATTACTTTTTCTCTCCACACTTAGATTTGATCTATCTACTTTAATTGGTAATAGTGTCTTAGTCATAGAATAGATTAGTTAGAAAAAAGTGTTTTTGACATTATAAATGATTCTTTCAATTTGTGTCTAAAAGTGAAAAATACTAAAAAGCTTTACATTTATTATTGTATTCAGACCAGTATTTCCTCCAGATGACCTTTATTACAACAAAGATAATTTAATGAAGATCTCTCTAATGGTAAAGCTGATGGCTTTGTGCTATTACAATATCCTTCAAATAAAGTGACGGTCTGGTGGAAATAACAACTAAAGCAAGGATTAGGAAGAAAACAGTTAATACCTTCATTTTGTTCTCACTCTGAATTAAGAGTTTTCATTGTGTTAAAGATTGATTATACATTAAGTAATTTAATGTTCATTTAATAATAAATGGATCCTATTAAATATGATTTTTAAAATTATAATCACATTACTTTTATTCACATCTGTCTACTGATGCCATTCTAGATGAGAATGGCATAACATTATTTTATTTTTTTTCATTTTGCCACATCTTTACTTACTTAGGTTTATGCTCTATCAAACAATGTATGTGTGGGAGTAATGGATGATTCAGGAATGCATGAGGAGGAGGTTTAAGCTCTTTAACCTTGAACAATTAAAATTAGCAACATAATATTGAAATACATACATAACACTCAAGTGGCACTTTCAAAATAGTGTATATTTCCTCTGTTTATTTGTAGCTTTTAAACCCAGCTAGAAGCATTCTATTTCCTTTAGGCAAAATAAGTCTGAAAGTCTGTAGTGAAAACTACAAGTAGTAAATGATGCTAATTCATGTGCTCCCACCTGTGGAATAATTGAATGTCTTAGATGAAAAAAGATGGTGTAATTGGTGTACAAAGTTTCTAGAATACAATTTGATGGTGTTTTTTTCTGTTTCCACAGCAGATTAACATATATAATATTCCCCTTTCATCAAGTTATTTAAATATGCCTTTGAACGGGGAGAATTGAAAATAATACTGTGAATCCTGGTAAACATTTTAAAATAATGAGAAGAATATTGCCTTTACAAAGTCAAAATTTTTCTGAATACAACCCATATAGCAATTTCATAGCAAAACATTTCCTTCAGTCCTATTAAAATCAGAAGGAAAAGAAGAATACCCACTGTCAATGTTGTATTAATATAGTTCTAAAAGTTTTGGACAATGAAATATGTTGTAAGAAGAGAAGTCGGGGAGACTTGAGCCCATTGTTTTTCCTCTCCTTCTATACCTCCCAAAATACCATTGGAATGTTGTAACATTTTGAAGAATCTATAGAAGTGTCCCAAATCATAGAATAGTATGAATGCATCTGAATCTGAGATATCTCCAAAAGATACAAAATAGGTGTGATTAGAATGAAAGAAAGATTTAGGCTTTTGGCCACGATTGCAAGTTAGCTGCTCTCAAATGACTGCTGCTATCGAACAAATACATTTTAGAGGATCTCTTTGAAACAATTCTATCCTTGAAAATGATTAGGGATGTTCTTAAAATACCTCCTCTTTCAAACACAAAAATAGTCTGTGAACTGGAGCTTGAGCCCTGGGCACTTTGTATTGGCTAGCTGATGGAGGGGGGTGAGAGTTTCCCAGATCTTCTGGGAAGATCTGCTATTGTCAGCAATGCTATTGGTGGTACTACTGACTCTTGGGCCATCAGAAATTCCAGTTCGTTAATCCTGGAACTTCTATATTGAGATTAAGCATTGAGTCAGTTTCACAGAGAAACTTTGGATAATAGCATTCTCATTTCAGACCGTAGAATGATGGCAGATTAAGGATGAGCAATGAGTTCAGTATTAAAAATGATCAGGTAAGCAAGACACCATGAATAAAAGTTAGTGAAATGAATAGCACATTTAAATCCTTGAAAACTAAATGTATTGAAATTGTCAATGTGGAGAAATAATTAAGCACCTGTGTATCGATTGTTTAAAGAAACAATCTACTATTACAAAGATGTAAAAACAATAGTAAAACAATATAGATGATAGAAAAAATGGACAGGTCTGGCTGGGCGTGGTGGCTCATGCCTGTAATTGCAGCACTTTGAGAGGCTGAGGCGGGTGGATCACGAGGTCAGGAGTTCAAGAACAGCATGCCCAAGATGGTGAAAACTTGTCTCTACTAAAAAAAAAATGTATATATATATATATAAATTAGCTGAACATGGTGGTGGCACCTGTAGTCCCAGCTACTCAGGAGGCTGAGGCAGGAGAATCACTTGAACCCGGGAGGTGGAGGTTGCAGTGAGCCAAGATTGCACCACTGCATTCCAGCCTGGGCAACAGAGTGAGACTCTGTCTCCAAAAAAACAAAACAAAACAAAAAGGCAGGTCTGAATAAAAAAAAATTAAAAATAAATGCAAGTTATTAATGATATATTAGATATAGGTAACAGGATAATTAGTAAAGAAAAAAATGCTTAAATGATATACTCAGAATGTAGCATGGAAACACAAGGTCTAACATTTATTTAATTCAAATATGGGGGGAGAGAAGTGTAAGAGGATTCACCGTTTCAAGAGATTCTCAAAAAGAAATTAGGAAAAAGTATAAATCCATTGATTCAAAGAACGTATTTCTAACAGATGATATAAAAATAAATTCACATTAGTTAAATTATAAATTATAAAACATTAAAACCAAACACCAGACCACACAAACATTGAAAAAAGGACGATTTATAATGAAATAATATTTATCTGATTATTATAGTAAAGCAAAAACTAAAAATGAGTAAACTAGTATCAACAAATGTGGAGAGAAAATAACTGTTAGTATACAATTGGGTACTCAGTAATGCTGTCTTTCAGGAACAAAAATAACGATATGAAATTGACAGATAAAAACTAAAATTGTTCACTATCAAAAGATCTGCAGCAAATAAAATTTCAAAGGCTATATATCAAGAAGAAAGAATTTAACCCAAAAGCTGATCTCAGAGTTAACTTGGAATTCCATAAATATCACTAAACTGATGATAATAGTAATACTTTCTGACATGGGGGGGATCCTGAAAAGAAGTGAACTTTTATTTTTGTTTAGAATTTAGAAAGTTATAGAAAAATGCTCTTGCCCTGACAAAGAGAATAAGCTGGATAATCTATAGATCATAGATTTCATTTTAAAAGACAGAGCTGAGGTCTCAAAAAAAGCTAATTAACTTAAATTCAGAGTAATGAAGCCCTACTGAAAAAAGAACGGATCCACAGATGATTTGTGTGTACCTGAGTTGCAGCAGCAGAAGCAGGAGTAAGCTGCCCTTGATGCAGATAAGAAGGAAACAAGTGAACCTCAAGCAAATGTTGAAAGGCTGAATGTGGGCTTGTGATAGTTTAGCAGCAGTAGGGGCCCAAACACACTCACTCACTCACTAATGCTTTAATGCTTTTCTTTTCTTTCTTTCTTTTCTTTCTTTCTTTCTTTCTTTCTTTCTTTCTTTCTTTCTTTCTTTCTTTCTTTCTTTCTTTTCTTTCTTTCTTTCCTTCTTTCCTTCTTTCTTTCTTTCTGTCTTTCTTTCTTTCTCTTTTCTTTCTTCCTTTTTTTTTTTTTTTTGACGGAGTCTCACTCTGTCACCCAGGCTAGAGTGCAATGGCATGATCTCGGCTCACTGCAACCTCCGCCTCCAGGGTTCAAGAGATTGTCCTGCCTCAGCCTCCCGAGTAGCTGGAACTACAGGCACGTGCCACCACACCCTGCTAATTTTTTTGTATTGGTAGAGACAGGGTTTCACCGTGTTAGCCACTGACCTCGTGATCCCAAAGTGCTGGGATTACAGTGCCTCGGCCTCCCAAAGTGCTGGGATTACAGGCGTGAGCCACCGCGCCCGGCCCCACTAATGGTTTTTTCAAGACCTATCTTGGGTGCTCCTAGGTAAGATCAGATGGAGAGCAGGAGAACTACCTGAGACACTTTTGAGGGACAGGCATGTAGGAACTGCTGCAATTTGAGGTCAGAGCAAGGTAAAGGTCTCACTGTGAGAATCGCGGTAAACCCTCTGTTACTGGGGAGTGGGTTGGGGAGCTGAGAGAAACCCCCTTCACTCTCTGTTCTCACAGGTGCATAAGAAGAGAGGCCTGATGAGGTCTGAAGGCAGGGGAGGGCAGGTAGCTGAGAGAAGTAGATTCTCTGGTCTTTCACTGAGTGTGAGGCAGCTACTGCCCGAGGTTGGGCAAGGGATGGAAGCCCTGAGAGATTCTTGAGGTGCAGAGATAGAGGCTTGCTGAGGATGAAAGTGGACAGGAAAGCTAAGAGAGGCTCCAATGCTGACCATGGCACTCTGCAAGAAGATAAAAATCTGTATGTAGAGGTTTATGAGGGAAAATCTTGAGTTCAGTTTTGGATATATGTTACTTTTGAAATCAAGTGTCCAAGTAGATACACCATTATGCAGTTGGGTAATTTATTATAAGCCTGGAGTTCAAAAGGAGGTCCAAAAGGAGAATTGAAAGGGATGAGACTTGCTGAGCCCCTCCAAAGAGTGTGTGGTGAGGGAGAAGAGAAGAGGACCAGGAACTGAGCTCTCGAGCTCTCCTATAGGAGGTGTGATGCAAAAGATGAGGAAGAAACAAAGGAAGCCGAAGTGGTAGCTCCAGTGAGACAGGCTGAGAATCAAGTGAATGTGCCGTCCTGGAAGCCAACTGAAGAAAGTATACTGTGAAGAAGGTAGTGATTATCTGTGTCAAATGCTGCTAATAGGCCAATTAAAGTTGTAGTGGAAAATGATCATTGGATCTAGCAATATAGGGATTATTCGTAACTTTGACAAAAGTGGTGTCAATAGCATGATCGAAAAAGGGGGAGAGAGCCTGATTGGGATATATTTAAGAAACAATGAGAAGAGAGGAATTGAAGACACAGAGTATGGACAACTATTTTAAGATGTTTTGCTGAAAAGTAGAGCAAAAATTGGGATGACAGCTGGCATCAGAAGAAATGCAAGGACATTCTTTTTCTTAAATCAGAAAAACAACAGCATATTTGTTTGCTGGTGGTAATAATTTACTAGCATCAAAATTGATGACACAGTCATGATATAGTGAACTGCAACAGGAAAATCCCCAAGTACACAGCGAAGAGGGAATATAATACACAAATTTAAAAACTATTTGGATCTCTGAAACATCTGTTTTGATATTAGCCTTTCATTCCTGCAATAGTTATTTTAAGCATGTTCTCATTTTCTCTTGTTCAGTGTTGCCAGGTTATTATAAAGTGTATTAAACTTTTTGAAAAACATTTTTTAAAATACTAGTTTTTTCTCATTTGTTTCATTAATTTATATTTTGTATTTATAATTTTCTCTTTATCTTCTTTAGAGTTATTATGCTGTTTTTTTTCCCAAAAGCCCCCAAAATGCATGCTTAGCCCATTAAATTTCAGCCATTTTTGTATGGAAAGTTATATTACCCACTTCTGTGTGGTTACCTGTAATATACCGTGAGCAGCACTTCTTGGTGTCTTTGCTGCTTATTAATTCACTTGTCTGAAGTTCCTTTAACTCTCCTTTCTACTCTTCAGTTTCACTTTGCAAATCATTTTTTATTCATAACCACATAAAACATAATTTATTTTGAAAAGTCTCTCATATAATTTTCACTTATTCTAGGATTATAATTTTTCTGTTTGTCTCTTCGAATAAAACCTTCAGATTTGTCAACACGCAGTTAGCAGTAGCTCCTATTGATAGGATTCCATCCATCTCTTTTGACCTAGTAAGTGAATATAATAATAGATGCCACAGAAATTCAATCCTGTCAGATCTAACTGCCTGCATGTAAATTTCCATGTCCCGCAAAGGCATCTCATTGAGGTCACGTTCTGTTGTATCCTTACTTTGTATCTTGAGGTGCTTGGTGGGGCATGAAAGTTTACATGTAGGCAGTTTCATCCGACAGGATTGGGTTTCAGCAGCATCCATTATTATATCCACTCACTAGGTCAAAAGACATGGATGGAATCTTATCAACAGGAGCTACTGCTAAATGAGACTCTTTTCTAGTTTTCCCTATTATAATCCTAGTGAAGCTGTAAATATTAGGTTCTTGAACCCACAGGACTGATTCTAGGATCTTGTCTGGCCAGGGATATAGCCTTCTCATCTGCAGAACCTTATAGTAATCAGCTACCAACTTACCTGGGGATAAGAGAATTGAAAAAAGGAGAATAAGGAGAAGCAAATGGAGTCTCATGGCTGAAGGGCCAGCATCAATGTGGGTTGAGGCTGGAGTCTCTGGGCATCGTGGGTCTAGGCCTTTTTATGATGCTCTCTGAGTCTGTGATTTGTTCTTGGTCAGTAGAGCCTAACGAAAAGAGAATAACTAAATCTCCCACAGGAAATTTCCAGGGACACACAAGTACATAAATGTGGTGATATCTCAATGGATGAGAAAGCAGGTGAATGCTATTTATTTCCCAAAGATTCAGGATGTCTTTATTGTCACCTGCTTTCTTTATTATTTTCGACATGCACATGCAATAATCATTGATCTCACTTTATACATCTATTGTTTGCCAGGCAATATAGTAGGAACTGAAGTAAAATTGTTATACACAAACAGTACATAATTAATGGATATAGTTTAGCAAGTTTGCACATATATATTATCTTGTTACCACACCAATATCCAGGTAATAATATATTCATCACCTCCAAATGTTTCCTACGTCCCTTTGTTGTTGTTGTTGTTGTCAGAACCCCTAAGATCGACCTTCTTCACAAATTGTTAAATACAAAATACCTCATTGTTAACTAAACGTACTGTGTTTTGGAGCCTATCTACGTAATTGAATCATTTTGTATAGCTTTAACCCTTGAACAATAACTCCCCATATTGCTCTTTCCCCACTCAATAAAACACCAAATTCTTTTAAAGCACATTCTATATAATCCACTTTATGAAGCTTTTCCTAACACTCTTTTATCTGTTCCCCCCCAGTAAAGGGAACTACTAATATAACAATTACCTATTTTGGATTATTGTGTCTTTTACAAACATTCCTTCATGAACCCATTTAACACTTATCTCCCATTATCTTACTATGAAGTAAAATAAAACTTGACGTGATTTTAAAAATGAAATCACAAAAGGGCTTTGTAAAATTATGATGTACCATTGCTTTTTTGTAAGAATTCAAGTTACACTAGGGGTTTCTAAAAATCTTTTGTTTTTATTTGTTGCATATTGTAAGCACAGTGTCTTTTTCAGCTATTTGCTGTGGGAAGAAAAGTTAGAGTTACAGTGAACATCGTAGGCTATCTTGTCTAGTCACTTACATTACAGATGAGGAAATGAGCTGAGGGAAAGGAAGAAACTTGCCCAGGATCACCCAGTGATCTAGCAAGGAAGGCGATAGGGACAGCACTAAGGCTTGGTATTCTGAGCCACATTCTATTTTCTCCTCTTGCCCCTTCTCTGTTTCCTCCTCTCTTCCCCGGCTTTCCAGAAAAACTTTACAGTTCTGCTGCAATGTCTACCTAAGGACATCCAGAGGAGACCTCACTTTTCATTAGACTGCTTTTTTAAGCACTGTCTTGCATTTTCTTCTTCAGTCTTGTTGTATCCCATTTTTGGCTATAAGTAATGCTTCTGCTGTGCTGTTCTATCCAGTTAGTTTCTTCTATTTTCATTGAGAGAAAATTAAAACAAAAAAGCCATTAGTTTATCTAAATTTGGAAGTTTTAAAACTTGATTAGAATTTCCTGGGATATGGATGTAAGACATATATTTTAAAATATTTTTCATTTTCAAAATTAAAAATCAAACCCATAGATTTAGCCAGGATGGCTACTTGGTAACTACTAATCAGATCGGTCTTCAGCAATGCCACAAGGATAAACATCTTGTCAATCAATTCCCTGGTGTTATGTGCTACTGAATTAATACAATTTGATATGGTATCACCTTTAACCAGGCTTTATGGAGTCACACAAAGGAACAGCACAACAGAACCATAGGGTGGCATGTATAGGGAAAGCTGGGATGTAAAACCCAGCCTTTACTCTGACATTTACTCCACTGTTGGGAAAAGCACTTCAGTTCCCAGAGCCTTAATATTTTCCTCTATAAAACAGGAAAAATAGAGCCATATTTAAGGTTTTGTCAAATCTTCTTGCTGAGTGATTTTACAGTGTCTGCAGCTATCCTCTCTGCTAATCATAACAAGGCTAACGAACTGTTCTTTTGTTTAGTTAAATATATTTTTGCATTTGTTTACAAATTCTTATTCTTCCCTTCACAGAAAAGGAAACATTTTAAAGGTAATTTATAAAATGTTAAGAGTCTCTTACATATCAACTCTTCACAATGTGATAGAGTAGCTTAACCCCAACCCTAAGAGTATAGTTTCAGATCAGCCCCAAACCTAGGTGGAGTGTGGGATACAGAATGTATTTCAAACACATGTAAAGGCACACACACGCACACACAAACACACACACACAGTATTACCTAAGGCAGAGGTGCAGATGACAGTCTTGGATAGACAGCTCAAAACTCTTAGTACTAAAATAATCCTAATAATAATTTTCCTTCCAAAGTCACCACCAACAATCAGATCTCTTAAGGGTTGGTGCCCTAGGTTTTCGAGCCTTGTGTATCTTTTGGCTTTCTTTTTTGGTTGTGTGCTATTTATCTCATAGAAAGAAACCTCTTCTTCATCCTATGCCAGTGCTGTATTGTAGGGGATTGTTGACATCTTCCTGGTATGTAGCAATCCAGGTGACTGGCCTCTGGCTTCTTAGGAGCAAGACCAT
Organism: Homo sapiens; assembly: GCF_000001405.40. Classification (NCBI taxonomy): domain Eukaryota; kingdom Metazoa; phylum Chordata; class Mammalia; order Primates; family Hominidae; genus Homo; species Homo sapiens. Next base: position 9,188,445 of record NC_000004.12, on the reverse strand, counting down.
CACATGCTTTTGTTCTTTGTCTGCTTGTTTCCTTGTAAGGGCCCCAGCCCCACATACAGTGGGTGCTTAACAAAAATTTGATCAACTGAACTCATTTTCCATCTCCGTTCTCTCCACTTCAAACTTTCCTTTTTATTTCTTCCAGATTAGTTTTCCTACAGTGAAATGGGAATTGTCCAAAAACTGCCCTTCATCTTTATAACTTGAAGGATTCATTTACCCTAAGCAGTCCTTTTAAATTTACTATCACAGACTAGATAGAAAAGTCTGGGTTCACCAAGAATAGGCATGTGTGCCATCATATTTTCTGTTGAAAACTTTGGAAAGTGTCTTTTAGCAAACAACATAAAGCATAGAATTTGACCATCCCTGACAATGTAAAAGGACCATCCACATTCTCACATGTCCATGGCTACTTTCCCACTCCTTCCCCAACCTTGAAATCCTGAATTCAAAGGAAAATATGAGAAGATAGTTAGCCTCATATAAGGCAACAGGTTGCTTAATCATTCTTGCCTATACACATTCAAGAGCTCCATATAATTTTCTGATCTACTTAGGATGCCTGATCATCTTCTTGGGTAAAAGCAATAAGTCCTACACAGAATCACCAAAACCATGTCTGCTCAAGGGGTCTTATACCTGTGATTCATGATTGCATGCTCAATGCAGAAGGGCATGCTCTGTTGCAGGGTCATATCTGCTCATTGTGTTTAAGTTCTAATTTAGAAGACTAGTTGCTGAGGAGGAAGAGGGAAGGATAATATTAGGAAATGGAATCAAACTTAAGGGGAAAAGTCAAGTACAGGGGACCAACAGTACTGAGGGGCAATAGGTTGAAGATTTCTTAGATTATTGCAGTATTTTCAAGGAGACCCCCACGAATCCTTCCTGGCTGACCCCACCAAAGCTTTGGCATAGCCTTTATGCCAAATGTCTTAGACTAACTTTTCCTAAAGAAAATAGAGGAGTTATGGAGACCAATACTTAGTAGAATAATGCCTGATTATTTTGCTTTTGAGGTCTAGCAACTGCTAGTAAATTTGCATAATTAATTCACATTTAGAAGTAGAGTAAAGAGGGTTTCAAGCACTTGAAACACCACTGACTTCATTTCATGTGAGAGTTGCTATGGAGAGCTAATGAACTATGAGGCTGCAGGTCTCTCAGCCAATAGGTCTTCTAGATTTCCTATGTGACTCCCTTTTCTGGTCCTAGGCGATTTTGCTTTTGCTTTGAGTATTATAGCACCATAAGGTGTCAGACACTCTACTCTTACCAAGTCTTGCACAAAGTTTATCTTATTATTTGGTGGAGCTTGGCTCATTAAAAAAAAAGAGAGAGAGAGAATGATAAAGAGGAGGTCAGCAATCCTCACGGCTGAGGAAAGAAGAAAGCTTGGCTTTATTTCCAGTAGGCAGAGAAAACTTCCGTCTGTGGCTCTCTAGCACCAGTGGAATGTCTCTGTTTGGATAATAAGTGTCCTTCCATACCTCATTAGGCATATTCACAGAGATGTACTATGCACACAAAATAACTTCCGTGGGACGACTGAGAGTCCATGTTTTATTGGACACTAAGTTCATTAGAATGATGTGGGTGCACAGTTTTGACCAGAAAACCTTGTTAAATGGGAACATAAGCTACAAATATTTTGGCAAAAGATTAAGGTTTATGAACAAACAACCATTTATAGTAAGTTACAATTAATTAGGTCATGTTGAGAAACCATTTAGTTTAGTTAATAATTAGACATTTTGTTAGTGAACACTTCCTAGACTTTACTAGCCCTATCAATCCCCACTTTGCCCCTGGTCTGAACCCCCACAGTGTCTTGTTTATGGTACAGTGCCTACTGCCTTGTATGTTAGATTAGTGAACGTATATTTGCCTCCTCTACTACTGCAGGAGCTTCTTGTTTGCCAGGACAGGGCTATATTGCTCAGAGCTGAGGAGGAGTTGAATCATGTGGTCATTTATTCTCAAATCCTCTTCATCAAGTGAAGCAAAACAGGACAGTGAAAGGACACTGCACATGGAAGCAGGAGGTCTGGATTTCAGTTTTAAATCTCTAGATCTATTACTAATTGGAGGTATGGATAGAGTCAGGAAAATTTTCTTCCTTAAGTCTTGATAGCACCTATGTAAGCCCAGATCTGTTGGATCTAGATAAGGGGATTCTCAATAATTTCTGTGCATAAAATCAACTGAAAGAGTTAGTTTGCAGTGCAGATTCTTAGCCCCATTCTATGAAATTTTTACTGTTTTATAAATTGATAAATAATTTTTATTAGACGATGTAAATTTCCTTATTTGCGCCAGCATACAAAAATATTGAATAATATTAGCAGCAGAATCTTTCAACAAAATAACTATGTATAGCTATTAAACCACTTTGTTTCACTGCTTTTTATTTTCTTTTATTTGTCACTATTGTCTTCATTATTATCATCATCACACATTATTGAACACCCATCATGGACCATATGGCGCAAACATTGTTTCTGCTCATAAGGAGTATGTATTCTCTACATATTTATAAAATTAATGCCTGAATAAGTTTGCTTAAACAAGGCAGAAGTTGATTTCTTTTTCACGTAAATTTAACCTGTAGTTATACCATTCAGGGCTAGTACAGATACTTTCTTATATCATTAGGGATGCAGGTCCCTTCCAGCTCTCTGCTCTGCTATACTTTAGAAAAGGTCCTAGTTTGGCTGCTAAATTCCCACCTATTATTTCTGAATTCTAGACAGCAGGGAGAAAAAAGGCATGAGAGAAGGGCTAAGGAATATCTACACTTCCTTTTTAAATTTTTTAACCAACCCCCCTTAAAAACACTTTGTTGAGACATGATTACATTCAAAAAGCTGTACCTATTTAATGTGTATATCTCAGTGAGTTTGAGAATAAGGATACGTTGTGAAAGCATCACTGCCATCGAGATTATAAACATATTCAGCACCTCCCAAAGTTCTCCCTCCCATTCTAATTATTATTTTTATTGGTAAGAATAATTAACACAAAATTCACCTTCCAATTATATTTTAAGTAGGCAATACAGTATTCATAGCTATAAGCACTATGCTGTAAATTAGACCTCCTGAACTTATTTATGTGGTATATCTAAAACTTTGTACTATAATCACACCTACACACTTACCTGCACCACAGCTCCTGGCCAGTCTACCCTCCGCTTCTGAGTTTTTTTTTTTTTTTTTTTTTTGAGATTTCAAATACAAATGAAATCATACAGTGTTTGTCATTCTGTGTTTGGTTTATTTCACATGACTTCATGCCCGTCAGATCCATCAATGTTGTCACAAATGACAGGGTTTCATTATTATACAATACTGAATAATATTCCATTATGCATATATATATATATAAAACATTAATTCAGCCGTCCATGAATGAATAATAACCTCTATGTCTTCTTCATAGATCTTGACTATTGTGAACAGTGCTGAAAGGAACGTAGGAGCGCAGATATCTCTTTCACATACTGATTTCAATGACTTCATATATATATATATATATTTATATTTATATATATGGATATATATATTATATATAAAATAAGTGGGATTGCTGGAACAAAATGGTATTTTTATTGTTAATTTTTTGAGAAACCTCCATACTATTTTCCAAAGTGGCCATACTAATTTACATTCCCACCACCAGTATACAAAGATTCCCTTTTCTCCACATCCTTACCAACACTTGTTATAATCCATCTTTTTGATAATAGCTATTCTAACAGGTGTGAGGTGATATTTCTTGGTAGTTTTCATTTGCATTCCCGTGATGACTAGAGAGGGTAAGAATTGTTTATATATGTGTTGTCCATTTGTATCTCCTTTTTCGAGAAATGCCTGCTCATATATCTTTGTTCATTTTTTACGTTTTTAATTTTTATTTTAGACACAGAGGATACATGTGCAGGTTTGTTACATGGATGTATTGTGTGCTGCTGAGGTTTAGAGTACGAATGATGTCATCACACACGTAGTGAACATAATACCTAATAGGTAGTTTTTCAGACCTTGCACCCAACCCTCCCTCCTCCCTCTAAGAATCTCCAGTGTCTGTTGTTTCCATATAAGTGAGAGCTAAACAGTGTATAACCCAATGTTTAGCTCTCACTTATACATGAGAATATGTAGTATTTGGTTTTCTGTTCCTGTGTACCACACCACACTGGGCTAATTTTTGTATTTTTGGTAAAGATGGGGTAGCTTCAGCATGTTGGCCAGGCTGGTCTTGAACTCCTGAGTTCATGTGATCCACCCACCTCACAAAGTGCTGACATAACAGGCATGAGCCACTGCACCTCGCTTTTCTGAACTTTTTTAGCTTATATTAGGTTTGTCTGTTCTAGAATTTTGTATACATTTATTTATATTATAGGACACTTTATAGCTTAGCTTTCCCCACTCGGGATTAGAAAGATTATATTGATCCATGATCATGATGTTGATTCATAGAGTTGATTATTCCCCTTTATTGCTAAATATTACTCTATAATATGCATATAATTTATCAATTTCCTCTCAATAGACATTTGAGCTGTTCCCAGGCTTCAGCTATTGTTAATAGAACTCAAGGACACATTTTTAAAGGAAAAAATTTCAACCCAAAATGTCCTTTCCTTTTGGCTCTCCAATATTGTGTCAGAGTTATATTTTTGTTGTCTTGAAAATCCAATTACATTGAACAGGAGGTGTCTCTAGAATCAAGTTCAGTATATGTGTGTTCTGGCTGTGTCCTAGAATGTAGCCCTTATTAGTTTTATTAAGCATTTTCCTATATAAATTGAAATCAAGTTGAAGACTCATTTTTCCACAGTAGGACAAATAGAAAAGTTTAGGACTTTGGAGAGATGGCAACTTGCTGCTTGCCTGTGCAACCCACCTCAAAAGATACAAGTCCTCCAACTTTTGATTCCTGGTAAATTGTCCAAACAATTAGATGTGAATTGACCTTATTCCCTTACATTACTACAAGTCGATCCTCTGCACCTGGCCAAATACAGTATAAAATTGATGAGCATATGTTTCTTTTGGTTTCATACTTTCTATTTAAAGCTATTCTCTTTGGCTGGGCACTATGGCTCATGCCTGTAATCCCAGCAGTTTGGAAGGCCAAGATAGGTGGATCACTTGAGGCCAGGGGTTTGAGACCTGCCTGGCCAACATGATGAAAGCTGTCTTTCCGAAAAATACAAAAATTTTCTGGGTGTGGTGGCACGTGCCTGTAATCCCAGCTACTCAGGAGGCTGAGGCAGGAGAATCACTTGAACCCAGGAGGCAGAAGGTGCAATGAGCCAAGATCCCACCTCTGCATTCCATCCTGGGTGACAGAATTAACCTCCATCTCAAAAAATTAAAAAGCTAATCTATACTTTTCTTTTGGTGCATTATTAGAACATAGAAGGCAATAAGGCAAAACTATTGTGGGTATATTAGTGCGTATCTGTAGCACCTAGCACAGTGCCTAGCCCATAACTTGTGTTGAAAATTAAGAGGACCTTCTTCATATCACTTTTCCCCACTCTAGTTCTGAATTTAAAGAAAGAAAAAAGTAGGTTAGCAAATATAGGTATCAGTTATTTCTATTGACAGATCATTTGGAGAACATGTTTTTGGGTGTGGGAGAAAAAAGATTCCTAACTCTCCACCCCAGAAATAATTTTGCTGATACAAAAATCAGCCGGACATGGTGGCACAGGCCTATAATCCCAGCTACTTAGGAGGATGAGTTTGAAGATAAGGATACATTGTGAAAAAGGTGGGAAAATCACTTGAACACAGGAGGCAGAGATTGCAGTGAGCCAAGAGTGCCCCACTGCACTCCAACCTAGGCAACAGAGAAAGACTCTGTCTGAAAGAAAAAAAAGTTGTTGCTATATAGCACATAATTTTATTGTCATCTCATTTAAAATTGAATAGTACATTTGGGTTGAATTCTTATGCCTGCAGAGACATTTGCTTCTGGCTTAAAGTCACTGGCTGTAGGAGGAAACTCCAGCAGAGGGCATCATAAGGATTTCATAGTGTCTATGGTCATCTTGGTAATTCCTCAGATAATTCCTGGCAATTCTGTTAGGTCTTGAACTTCACTTACTTCTTACATGTTTAATAAAAAGAAGTTCAAAACATTGCCATGGCTGTTGAATTCCCACAGGCTTGTCTTCCCTTTAAAATTTATCACATGGTTTGTGCTCTTTTGCAGATATAATACGTAAGTTTGGAGGTGGATGCTTTCAGCCACTAAGTTCAAAAGTACTGCCACAAGGGCCAGGCATGGTGGCTCACACCTGTAATCCCAACCCTTTGGGAGGCCAAAGCAGGCAGATCACGAGATCAGGAAACTGAGACCATCCTAGCCAACATGGTGAAATCCCATCTGTACTAAAAATACAAAAATTAGCTGAGTGTGGTAGTGTGTGCCTGTAGTCCCAGCTACTTGGGAGGCCGAGGCAGGAGGATTGCTTGAACCCGGGAGGCGGAGGTTGTAGTTAGCCGAGATTGTGCCACTGCAGCGCAGCCTGGTTACAGAGTGAGACTCCATCTCCCAAAAAAAAAAAAAAAAAAAGTACTGCTACATGGACATCCATTGTCCCAGCATCTCTTCCATAATAGCTGAGGAATTATCGAGAATGTCTGTTAATTTCTTTAACTCCAAATTTGTGTTATGTCCCTTGGTCTCCTGTCATACCATAAATTGTATTATTCATAAAATGGACACTTTGTCTATAGTTATTTCTTCTCAGGATGCTACATCCCTTTAGAATTTAAACATACAGTGTCTCCCAACCTGAAATTTGAAGTTTTGAAAAACCAGAAAAATGTTTTCGGACACCTTTTATTTCCAGCTGGTTTTATGTCCTCTCCTGAATCCAGGTTGAGGGTAAAGTCCATTCATCAGCATTTCTCCTCAACCGACAGCAATCTCATCCCACTCCAATATGATGTTTGTCCCCACAAATTGATGCACATAATTCTTGCTGGCAGTGGTAATGTCTTAATAAAAAAAATCATGAGATGGCATCAGACTTTACTTTATTTTCTAGCTCAGCAGAATTTGATTCCTGTCTGATAAGGAAACCCTATTTTCCCTAGAAACTTTTCACTTTTGTCACAGGTTTGGTTCCCAGGGAACTGGATATAGATGAAGTTTAGTGTGCAGGATGTTTATTAGGAAGTGATGTGAGGATCCACATCTGTGGAAAGGATTGGAGGGAAGCCTTATGTGCAAAGGGACAAGTCTAATGGCAGTGCAGCCTGACATTGTCACCTGGCCACACGGACAGAGCTGTAGAGCTAAGAAATCCTCCCCTATTTGTCCCAACTGAATCAAATGGCAAAGCCTATGTACCCCTCCCCTCCATTAATGATTGTGTGCTTGCCATTTGTGGAGGATGAGACTTTGAAGCAGGTGGCTTTCTGTGGCTGAAAAAAACCTTAAATGTGCTGACAAAGTTTTCCAAAGAGACAGAGAATGGCATCTGCCATGTATGTTGCCCCTTTCCAAAGAGGAAGCAACAAGGGTAAGCAACAAAGGTAAGCAACAAGGAAGCCTCCAATGGCTCTGTATGCAGATAGGAGGAAAGTAATGTCTGTCCCTCCTGTGACCTAAGAAGAACAGATGGCAGACATGCAGCCAGGCAGTTAGAGGTGACACAGTGTTAGGAGATAAACATCTGTCAGAAGCAGTGCTTCTTTGAATCAGGTGTGACACGAGCCTTGCATCCCTTGCATGGTCCCCTTCCCCATTATCCTGCTGTCCTACCTCATGAAGGTGGGTGGGGGCTGGCTGGTGGGCAGTCCCAGTACCAGGTACACTTTGCCTGCAGTGTTTCCACATGAGTTCCAAGGTAGCCCATGTGGTCATCCATGAACTTTGTGTTTTCCTTATGCTGTTTGTCCTTTGCCTTTGAGGAACATGTTTCATTTGACTCTGAGTCCAAACAACTCATGTGTCCCTATATCTGTACATTGTCCTTCACTTAGGGGAATCTCTAATCTCTAATGCCTTTGTTTTATTTTTACTATTAGTATTATAATAATTAACATTGTCATTATTATCTTCATTGTTGATGTTCAGTTATTTTTATTAATAGAATTACTATGAATTATTATATTGTGGCTACTTACACCAAGATGAAGATAATTTATTAGTTCAGGAAGGATCTGCATTCTGAAGGCAAATAGAAGTTCCAGCTACAGATGGGCAGACGCATGCCCTCTCAATTTCTGAGGGACCTCCTAGTGCCTCCTGGACCTAAGGGGCCTCCCTCAATGTTTCAAGATGCCACCAAGGCAGGGATCAGCTCGTGCATTCCTGAGAACATTCATGATGAAGTGAGGCTCTGGAAAAATGCAAGAGTTTCCACATAATCCCAAAAAACCCTACAGGTGAACTGGATGCCACAGAAAGAGGAGTGGTCTTTGACACAATAAAATCAACAAAATTATTTCAAAGTCAATTAGGAAACTCAGAAATCACGCTTGCTGCCATTAAGAGGAAGAACAGGAGCCTGTGAATGGCATCCTTGGCCTTCCCGAGACTCTACAGATATTTCTATGTGGCTTCAGACACCAGAAATCTCTGTGATTTTCAGAAAGGCAGGGACAGCTCCTGCCAGCCCATCCCTCTGCAGAATGTGTCCCAGCAGACCAGTGGCATGGAACCATCATGGACAGCACAGAGGCTCAAGGGCAGCATCCCAGGCCGGCCTGTGACTCTAGATAAGTTCTGAGTCCCCATGGGGGCTCAGGAAAGGTTAGTGACGACCTGGAAAGAAGGGACAGGCTGAAACCACCCCTAAGCAATATGCAGGATTCCAACTTCAGCAGGAAGCCAAGGACCAGCTCGTACCACAACTGCGCCCCCTGAAAACGCTGGATACAGTCCCACTCTGCAGAAAGTTCCACGTAGAAGTGGCTGGGAATTTTGTATTCTAGACTGCATTTTACAGTACCTCTGGACATGTGATGAGAAATTTAACATTGGTGTATCTAACTGTAACATCTTTCATGAAGCGATTTTTTAAAATGTGGTAAAAAAGACAAAATATAATTCAAACATATGCATTATATGTCAAAGTATGCTTTGCTGGCATCAAGTAGACTCACCTTGAGATACAATCTTGGACAACCTCCATCTTCAGAATATCTACTTTTTCAAAGAGAAACTCTACAACCAAAAATCAATAACATCAAAAGTCTGCAACTACAAGCCGACGGAAAATAAATACAGGAATTCTACCACAGTGAATTGGACCGCACTGGGAAACACAGATGAAGAAAGTCAACACCGCTTTTTCCTTCAGTGCCTGGCTCCTTTTTCAGCTCGTCTTGAGACTCCAGGCATTATGCCTGAAAAGTCTCCTAGACGCCTGTGAGGCTCTAATTCCCTGGGTCCCATTGCCATTTCTCTGGATTTGCGAAGATCCACCGGACCTTCTGTGGAACTCCCGTGTCCCTGTACTTTTGTGCCTCGTCCCCTAATTCTGCCCATGGTCATCTGCACCTGCACGAGTTAGGGTCCATGTTCCTTGGACGGGAAGAGACAGGCAGGAGTCGGAATGATGAACCAGCACACTGGGGCGTTTTCTCATGTAGCCCAAGTGACCCCATGGTCTTCTTGAGCTTTGGAACCAGTCGCGTCCCCCTTGACACTGCACCCGACTCCCAGTTTCTCAATCTTGTTGGCCCTCCAGCGATCTCCCGTTGGATGAATTTCACCTGCTGAAACTCGGGTCCCCTTTGATTTGCGCTTCATTAATTATTCATGATTCAGGTTGGAAGGCCTGCTGACGACCCCCTGTGGCCTTTCTCTGAGCTTTCCGGTCACATGTTTCCTTCCACGCTCTTTGGTTCATTGTGGTCCTGCTCCTTCTGCTGTCAGAGGAGCAGAGAGTTGATCTTATTGATTCTGGATACGGATACTTTCTAGGTGATCTGGATAATCAAGATAACGACCCTCAACAGCGGCGGAAAGGGAGCAGCCATTTGGTGTGTCTCAGAAAATCCCGCTCAGTTCCGAGGCCTCCTAGATGTGGAATCCTGCTCAGAGTTGTTCCCAGGTCAGAGAATGGAGAGAGCCTGTGCATGATGGGATATCCCTGCCTAGATCTTTCAGTGAGTCTCTACTACAGCTCCTCTTAGGATCAGGGGGAGAACCATGGAAAGGCCCGGTGTCAGACATCCGGAAAGAAGACGGGATGAACGTTTTACCTCTGAAGTACATCCCAAATGTGGGAGTTAACTTCACCTTTGCTGGGGTCTATTTGGCTAGTGAAACTCTGCCTGGTTCATTCGCACATCCGGAAGCCACTTCACGGGGGGCCGTCGCAAATGGAACCACACACTTGGCATCGGCGGTTGAGCCAAATGGGGACTCGTGGTACAAGGAACGCTCCCCACGTGTTAGCGTGCGTGAGATTCGGTTGGCAGAATTTTACTAGGTGTGTGTTGGTAGAATGGGGCTGAGGTTTTCTTGCTCCTGTGGATGTATACGAAGTCAAAGCACCTGCCCAGCCCTGCGGTCCCCTCAGTCAACTCTGTTTCGGAGACATAACGATTTGGATTGCTAACAAGTCAAGAAACTTTCAAGCCCTTGGATGTAGGGAAAAGAAAGAGAGATCAGACTGTCACTGTGTCTATGTAGAAAGGGAAGCCATAAGAGACTCCATTTTGAAAAAGACCTGTACTTTAAACAATTGCTTTGCTGAGATGTTGCTCATTTGTAGCTTTGCCCCAGCCGCTTTGACCCAACTTGGAGCTCACAAAAACCTGTGTTGTATAAAATCAAGGTTTAAGGGATCTAGGGCTGTGCAGGACGTGCCTTGTTAACCAAATGTTTACAAGCAGTATACTTGGTAAAAGTCATTGCCATTCTCTAGTCTCAATAAACCAGGGGCACAATACACTGTGGAAAGCTGCAGGGACCTCTGCCCTTGAAAGCAGGGTATTGTCCAAGGTTTCTCCCCATGCGATAGTCTGAAATATGGCCTCGTGGGATGAGAAAGACCTGACTGTTCCCCCGCCTGACACCCGTAAAGAGTCTGCGCTGCGGTGGATTAGTAAAAGAGGAAAGCCTCTTGCAGTTGAGATGGAGGAAGGCCACTGTCTCCTGCTTGCCCCTGGGAACTGAATGTCTCGGTGTAAAACCCGATCGTACATTTGTTCAACTCTGAGCTCGGAGAAAAGCTGCCCTGTGGCGGGAGGCGAGACATGTTGGCAGTAACGCTGCTTTGTTATTCTTTAGTCCGCTGAGATGTTTAGGTGGAGAGAAACATGAATCTGACCTACGTGCACGTCCAGGTATAGTACCTTCCCTTAAACTTAATTATGATATAGATTCTTTTGCTCACATGTTTTTTTTTTGTTGTTGTTGTTGTTGACATTCTCCTTATTATCACCCTGCTCTCCTACTACATTCCTTTTTGCTGAAATAATGAAAATCATAATCAATAAAAACTGAGGGAACTCAGAGGCCGGTGCCGGTGTACGTCCTTGGTGTGCTGATTGCCGGTCACCTGGACCCACTGTTGTTTCCCTATACTTTGTTTCTGTGTCTTATTTCTTTTCTCCGTCTCTCATCCCACCCGACTAGAAACACCCACAGGTGTGGAGGGGCAGGCCACCCCTTCACTTGGAAAATCAGTTAAACACAAACACGGAATGAGAGTCAAAAGACAATACGTCATCTTTTTGAGAATTTTATTCACTTCCAAACAAATTCAACACACCTATTTACAAAGGCATTCCAGAGCCCAGTTTTCGAGGCTGAGGAAAGACCCCGAGAGCGCTTTGCACAGCACGCTTCCCAGCGTCCGAAACACTGCTCTCAGGGCGGGGCACAGCGGAAGGGCTGCACCTCTCAGGGTTCCCTAACTTTTCCCTTATTCAGTCATCTAGAGAGCAAATACACAGTAATTCCCCAGTTTCCTATTGACGTCCCAGCGGAAGTCTGACTCCTGCGCGTCACGCAGTTTCTGAGGCAACGAATCTCTCTGGCACGGAAGCTTTTCCTGGCGCGTTTCCGGAGAACCATGCGAACTACAATGTCCCTCACCAGAATTCAATGAGGCAGATCCCTGCATCTGCTCCCTGCCTGGCCTGGGCTCCCACATCCACAGAAGCGCCACAGCCGGGGAGCTTCGGAGTCACCGCACAGAGTCTGCTCTCTGCTCTGAGCTCCTCAGTCCCACAGTCCCCTCCAAGTCACAGGAGCTGGAGGCCAAGGAGCCCCTGCCACCTGCAGTCTCACTCCAGGTCAGAGTCGCTGTCCTCTGAGGAGGAGGAAACCTGAAGGTCCTCATAGAGGACGTTCGGTGGGACACGAACACGGGGAACCTCAGACTTCTCTGAGACATGAGGGCTCTGAGCGAGGAAGGCTCCCGGCTTCTCAGGAGAGTGAAATGAGGGGGCCGCCAGGAGGCTGGAGCTCCAGCGTCCGTTTTCCAGTCTCCGGAAGAGCACTCTGAGAGGCTGGGCCCCATCATGGCTGGTCGCTGGGTGATGGGACATGGTGCAGGCCTGGGCAGTAGGCAGGCAAGGTCTGCTGTGCGGAGGCTGCCGGTCGACGCTGGACACCTGGGCGGGTGTCCTCCTGCCCATCTGGGGCGACGTACTTGGTCCAAGTTCGGTTGTTGCCGGCGGAGGTTGGAGATACTCCGGGGCCCCCAGCTCACCTCCCTGGATGGCGCTTTCGGGGATCTGGAAGGGACCCAGCCTCGGTTTCTTGGGGAAGTTCAGGCAAGCCTGAATCGGAGCCTGGGCAGGTCTCTTGGCTCCTGGCCCGAAGCTGAGATTGGAGCCTAGACCCAAGCTATGTGTGGCGGCTGGTGGGCAGGGCTGTGAGGTCACCGCAGGACGTTTGTCTTGTGCCTGGGGGCTGATGGCCTGGAGCAGGCCGTGGGTTTTGGAGGCAGCCTGGGGAACTTCTCGGCAGCCACCCTCAGGGCTGCTGTGTGTCGGCTTCACCACGAGGAGAGGCTCGGGGCCCTGGTGTCTGACTGCAGGCTGAGGGATGTCGGCCGCAGCCCCTGTCTGTCTTTCCTTTGGTCCAAGACTTGAGGAGGAGCTCAGACTGGCTTTTCTGAGGGGAGACAGTGAAGCCAAGGCGGAGCCCCTGTCAGACATTTCGGTAGCTGAGCGATCAGCGAGGACAGGGTCCACACGCGGCCTCTTACTGGTTGTGTGGACCGGCATTGGCCCGCTTGCAACCTGAAAGGAAGGAAACAACACAGGTTAGAAGCTCCTCAGCATGGAGCCAACGTGAAAATCAACCACATCCAAAGACAGGCTGCACACGCCATGAAATTCTTACGGTCCTTGGAAGTAGGGACAGACCCTCCACCTGAGTGCTGATCAGGACAAGACACATGAAAGATGCGCTCTCGAGCTATGTATAGCTGATCTAAGCACATCATTGTTCAAAAGATGGCGTCTTGGGCATTAACTGGATCAAAGCGCCTTCACTCAGCCTTCCATGAAGTGGAAGGGACTAATGCCCTTCTGAAGGCAGGTTGGTGGCTCAAGGGTACTCAGGACGTCTTCTCTGAACACATGCATTTTCCAGGGTTTAGCCTTCTCCATGTTTGTGGCCTCTGAGGGACAAATTTCTTCATGCCGCTAGGAACATGTTGTTGGCAGGCTTGCCATAATTGGACAGAAAGAAAACAACAGGAAATACGGCATCTTCAGATGCCTTCGCCTGGAATCAAATTGACCTGGAAGGATCGTGGAGTCCCTGACCCCAAGAAGGCAAGAAAGAGGGGTTCCCCGATTCCCTCCCGCAGACGGGAAGCTGAAAGGAAATCAACCAGCGTGACCTAGAAGACAAAAAGACCAGGGGCCCAGAGTGACACTCACCCTCAGATAAACAGAAGATTCCGTGGATCCTTTTCGATTTGGCAGCGGCTTCTCTGGAGGTTTCCCGGAAAATATGTGGAGGAGAGCCTTCCTCTGCGGGTCTTGTTGCCTGCAGAACAGAAAAAGGTCAGGCCGTGGCCCCTGGTTTTCCCCAGGAGATAGGGAGAACCCTGTCTGGGGCTCAGTCCCATTCCGTGTTTTGTGATACAGAAATGGACATCTGGTGCCCTTTCCGCCTCTGCACCTTCCCTCACGTGCCAACCTTCCCATCCTCCAGGTGGCCCTCTAGGCCTCCCAACTAAGGACTGTGATTTGGATTCCATCGCTTTTCCCCCTGTCGTGGGGAACCTGCACGAAGCGCCCCCGCCTCTCCCTGTCCCTGAATCTCCCAGAGCCAAAGGAGCTCCTGGGTGTGGAACCCCGGAGGACACGGAGCTCCGGTCTATTTCTCTGCAGCGTTGCTTCCCTGGCCCGGAGACGGAAAGGCACACGGTGTGCAGGTGCACAGACACCATGTCCTTAGGAGGCAGTGCCCTAAGAGTGGTGAAAACCCCTCTCACTGCTCACCTTGGTCTCTCTTCCTTCTCTCCCTTATCCTTGTTCAAGGGCCCCGGGTTTGCTTCAACCTGGGGCTTCCATGGTTTCAGGTTTTCCTTCCCTTCCTTTTTCCCCAAGGTCGGTGGAACCAGGGCTGCCTTCCAGCACTTCATGGGGCACCTGGTACTTCTGGCCATGTGACCAAAGGCCCCACAGTTTTTGCACTTGAGCTGTGGGTGGAAAGGAAGTGATGTCGGTGAGTGAGCTGAAGCCACAGGCAGCGATCCCACGTCAACATTGAGACGGATTGTGAATTCAGAGCTGAATAAGGATTCCAAAGAGGGGACACCGGCATGGGGGCCGTTAAGTGCTGAGAGAGTTCGGATGCGATGTTCCCTCCCAAAGCCCATGTGACGGAGGAACTCTAAAAGGCAGGACTCAAGGTTCTAAGGGGCACGATGGTGAACCCGATGTCAACAGCACAGCCAAACGTGGCTACACAGGACTCTAAGTAGAAAGGGAGGTTGCCCTCAAGAGTCTCTCAAGGGGTCTATCGGTCCGGGGAGGAGGTCCCAAGCCACGCCCACCTTGGATGGGAAAAGCAACCTGGGTGGTGGTGACAGAACTCTTTGGAATCCAACCCAGTCTCTGAGGACCGTGTGACACCCCCTCCCCCGGCCCCCACCCCCACCCCGATACACAGGAGCTCCAGGGCTAGACTTACCCTGGGATCTTCTTCATCGGGCGGGGGAGCCCTTGGCCCAACTGGGGCTCTCCGCTGCTTCTGGAGGGTCTGGGCTCTCACCAGTCTCTTTGCCCCAGGTTTGGGGTCACGACATGCCATCATCTTCGTCTCCTGGGGGTTTTATGACCGCCTTTTTCAGGGGTTGATTTTTGGGTCACCTGAAACACACACAAACACACACGTCGATGGTTAAGCACATTGGATATTCACACACCCACAGGTAGCCCCCCCGCTAACTCCTTGCCGGTGTGGTCATGAGGAGACCTCACCACCAGTCGGTCAAATCTGTGGAACACAATGTGCTGTGTGCATCCTCAGATATTGTGTGTTCCTCTGCCATGTTTACCTAGTGCAAGAGTAAACCTCACCTGCCACAGGGCCTGTGGCCTAGGTATGGGGAGTTGAGCTTTTAACCCCAAACTAACAACTGATTCTGGAGAACTGGACTTAGGTCTATCACGATTCACTCTGGTAGAAGACACGATGACTCTATCTCCCTTGACGGACAGAATGATCGAAGCCACAGGGCATGGCGTGTGTCACCCTTTGGCAGGTCTGTTTGAAATATGGGATAAGGGATGCTTCCTGTCACAACTTGAATCGCTACTCCTGCCATTTCATTAGGCAACTTCCAAACACAAATTCATAGAGAGAAGTTATCTTCCTCTCTACCACACTAGCAGGTGATGGTCTTTCCTGTTCTATCTTTTTGGCTTTAGCTCCAGCCCCTCTTTATTTATTTTTCTGGTATTTTACACATGCCACACGAATTCATCTAAACAAACGGTGAACAAGTGCCATATCGTATCGACGTCTTACACGGCTGAAGGGCAAACCACCCTTTTTTCCAAAGTCCTTTTTCCATTTACCCACCAATTCAGCATGCTGCAGTACATTTCTTTTCGCATTCCCACCTTGGTCTTATCCCACACATGGAGACGGAAATGCTTTCTCGTTTTCTGTTCCAAGAATTACTAGTAACGAGAGCACACCCTACCCCATCAGCAAGCCCCAGTGTGATCGCTTTCTTTCGGCCTCCTTTGTCTCTTTTCCCCCCCACCCCTCAGGGATTGCGTGAAACAAACAACTGTTCAGTGAAACTAACCTGAAATTACACGTCTACTTTCTTTCCCCGGCTGGCGCTGAGATGGGCAGGTGCTGGAGCAGCCCCGCTGGAAGCGATGCAGCATCCAGGAAGACGGAGGAAGGGGCAGAGAGGGACCTCTACTTTCCAGGCGGCCTTTTATACTGCCTCTGGTCACCTGACGTGGAACGTACCCTAACCTAATCAGTTACATGTACGTTAATTACACTTAACTTAATCCAATTACATGACCTGGAAAGGTCTATCTGCACAGCCCACTCTAAGATCATGTCCACTGCTGACAGACATTCTAAAACCTACGTGTACAGCTGCAAGCTTTGAAGAATAGATGTTCCCCGTCAGACATGTAACACTGGTGCCTGTACCCCTGTCTTCTTTTCCATCTTTTTTGTTTTTGTGTTTTGTTTTAAAAAATGTGGTAAAATAGACACCTTTTAATTGGACCATATTTACTCTATCTCGACGTGGGCCTCAGTGTCATCAAGGAGATTCTCCTTGACATGCAGTCACGGCCATGATCCATCTTCTGAGCTTCTCTTTCTTCCCCAAGGTAAGTCTGTCAGCAGAGATCCCTGACCACACCCTCATGTGTTTTCTTCTCCAGGAGGCGCTTGGAAACCACCGTGAATTGGACCGCACTGGGAAACACAGATGAAGAAAGTCAACACCTCTTTCTCCTTCAGTGCCTGGCTCCTTTTTCAGCTCGTCTTGCGACTCCAGGCATTGGAGTCCAGGGAGGGGCACCCCGCCTTTACCCTGTGCTTCCCACGATCTTGTCTCCTTAATCCTCACTGCAGCTCTCTGCCATAGGGTCTTATACTGCTTTACATGTGGGAAACTGAGGCTCAGAGGGTTTCACAGCAGGGCAGGGAGCCCAGATGTGAATCTGTAGATACCAAGCTTTCTACTTTTTCAATAGTTTCCAAGCATCTTTTTTTTTTTCTTGTTTCGTCATTGGTGTCTATTTTTTTTTTTTTTTTTTTTTTTTTTGTTGAGACAAAGTCTCTGTCGCCCAGGCTGCGGTGCAGTGGTGCGATCTCAGCTCATTGCAACCTCTGCGTCTCACATTCAAGCAATTCTCATGCCTCAGCCTCCCGAGTAGCTGGGACTACAGGTGCCCACCACACCCAGCTTACTTTTGTATTTTTGGTAGAAACAGTGTTTCACCATGTTGGCCAGGCTGGTCTTGAACTCCTGACCTCAGGTGATCCACTCTCCTTGGCCTCCCAATATGCTGAAATTATAGATATGAGCCACTGTGCCCGGCCATGTCATTGGTACCTTAACCAAGCCTCTTTTAATTTTTCAAACGGAAGAGCCCCTGTCCCACAGTTACTGCTGCTGAGCCCTTTCAAGGTGACTCAGTGAGGAGGGAGAAAAGCGGAAGCGGTGTGGGAAGAGGCGGGGTCTGGGCCAGCTGCTGGTCCTGCTCTCCTCCCTCCTCTGGCCTCTAGGCTCCCAGGAGTGGTTTGGAACCTGCGCCATGTGCTCTGGAGGCTGTGGCAGGGCAGGGGCGGCTTGGAACCTGCGTCATGTGCTCTGGGGGCTGTGCCAGGGAAGGGGGAGTCCTCGTGTCCCCTGCGCACAACACAGACAGAAGGCTGGATCCACCCAGTGGGCGGTCGGGTGCCAGGCCAGTGCTTATACCGCCATGTTTGCAGCCCTAGGCCAGCTGGCTGCAGGTGCAGGGCTATGCCTCAGGGTCAGGGTGCACACACCCCTGCAGGTCTCAGGGCTCCTGGGTTGCTTCTGGAAGGGCCCAGATGGGGCCTGACTAGAGCTGCCGAGGGGTGGAGCTTCTGGGAAAAGGATCCCTCCTAGCGGGGAGTGTCTTGAGCCTGGGGCCATGTGGCAGGGACAGAGACGGGTCCATGGCAGTGTCTCCTCTTCTCTGTGAAGGCAAAGGGCCTCTGAGGGAGTATTACAGCCGCCTCATCCACCAGTAGCATTTCCAGCACATCCAGGTCTGCACCCCCTGGCTGGAGGGCCGAGGACTACCCCCGCTTCTAGGTGAGAGGCCAGCAGGAGGCTCAGGGAGGAGGCAGGGCCTTAAGCAGGGGGAGCAGGGGTGGGCAGGATGTACTTTTTCTGAAAAGGTGGCTCTGGAGGCCACTTGGGGAGAGGATCTGGGCTCTGGCTCAACTCCCGGGAGGAGGCTACTTCCTGGTGTGCCAGCCCCTCCCTGCCAGGTGGCCCCAGAGGCCCTTTACCAATGGGTTTGAGGAGGCCACGTCCTTTCAGCCTGCCACACCTTCTATTCAGCCCTCTTCCTTCCTGCAGGAGGGCTGGGCCTGGGGTTGGGGCCACTGTTGCCCAGGTGTGGGAGGGCAGTGGCTTTGGGAGGTGCAGGGACGATGTGTCAAACAGCGTCGCCTCTCCCAGTGAGATGGTTCTCCTTTGCCTCTGTCTCTTTCCCCGTTGATTTCTCCAAGTTGGGAGTCGTGGCTTGGACCTGATACGTCTCTAGAGCCGCATCTTCCAGCTTCGAGTGAGCAGAGCACTTGGCGGCCGAGGGCCTTTTCCTGGCAGGATTCTCCAGCTAGTCTTTGTTTTAGATAGTCTTGCTCCATTGCCTAGGCTGGAGTGCACGATCTCAGTTCATGCAACCTCCGCCTCCTGGGTTCAAGCGATTCTCCCACCTCAGCCTCCCAAGTAGATTACAGGATTATGGGAGCCCGCCACAACACCTGGCTTATTTTTGTATTTTTAGTGGAAACAGGGTTTCACCATGTTGGCCAGGCTGGTCTTAAACTCCTGACCTCAAGTGATCCTCTCGCCTTGGCCTCCCTAAGTGCTGGGATTCCAGGCGTGACCCATCATGCCTGGACCCAGCTAGTCTTTAGAAATGTTAAGCTATTTGGCTTTATTTTCACACTGACAGCTGGTTTGTGGTGGGTGTGCTGTGGATTATTATTATTATTATTATTATTATTATTATTATTATTATTATTTTGAGACGGAGTTTCGCTCTTGTAGCCCAGGCTGGAGTGCCATGGCGCAATCTTGGCTCACTGCATCCTCTGCCTTCCCGGGTTCAAGCGATTTTCCTGCCTCAGCCTCCTGAGTAGCTGGGATTACAGGCACCTGCCACGACGCTTCGCTAATTTTGTTTTTTTTTTTTTAGTAGAGATGGGGTTTCACCATGTTGGCCAGGCTGGTCTTGAACTCCTGACCTCAGGTGATCCACCCGCCTTGGCCTCCCAAAATGCTGGGATTACAGGCGGGAGGTAAACCTGGGAGGTGGAGGTTGCAGGGAGCTGAGATTGTGCCACTGCACTCCAGCCTGGGTGACAGAGTGAGACTCTGTCTCAAAACAAAACAACAACAACAAAAAAAACAAATTGTGGTTACGTAGAAAAAGTGTCAACTTACATTTTCAGATGTCCCAGCCAGGCCGTGTGGCTGCTTGGCCAGCTTAAGCCACTTGTGCTTGGGGATGTCGGGGGCTTTATCCAATTTTCACTCCCCTCGGGGGATGTTGTCTCACTATGCTGGGAGGATTTTTGTTCCCAGGGCGGAGACCAGCGCTCTAACCCACCCCTCTTGCCTAGCAGGGTCGGTGGACCTGGGTGTCTGTCTGGACACCTCCTCCAGTGGCCTGGGCCTGCCCATGAAGGTGGTGGACATGTTCAGGAGCTGTTTGCCTGTGTGTGCCGTGAACTTCAAGTGGTAGGAGCAGAACCCGAATCTTTCTGGGGATAGCTTCACAGATCCACCGCTGAGGGGGAATCAGTGCAGTGAGCTGCCCACAGTGAGGCCCTGCCCTTCGGTCAGTCCAGCACACACTGGAGGCCACGAGGAGGAGACCTGTGGTTACTGTGGCTGGGCTGAGCCTCACTGAAGTAGTTGCTTCCATTTAGAACTCATGTTATATTTAGGTTGGTACAAAAGTAATCACGGTTTTTGCCATTAAAAATGGCAATAACTTTTGCACCAACCTAATATGAAAAAAGAAAGCACCTTAAATACTAGAACTCCACTCGGGGCTTTTGCTCCTAGAGTAGAATTGGCGGGAATTGTCTGCAGGCTTACATGGTTTTCTTTGTTTTTCTCTCCCACCATGTCCCTTTTGGCCAAGCTCACATGGTGGGTTTGAATGAGTTAAATGAGTGTCATACTGTGGCCTCACTCCACCCAGCATAGATGGGTGTTTGGAAGGGTGGCGTTAGAGGAGATTCTAGAAGCAGTAGCCCCAGCACAAGTTGAGCCCTTGGCCCCTGCTCAGGAGCCGGCTCCTGGATGGGATTCAGGGATTCGAGCCCCTCATGTGAGCTGAGCTCAGGGAATGTCGGGATCAAATCTGGTGTCCTAGAAAAGTCATCTTTTATGTGCTGAACCAGTCCCCAGGGGGTTGCCTTTACTTGTTCCATGGCCATGGAATTAAGAAAAACATGCAAAAATAATTCTTCAGTACTTGAAGAGCATCCAGCACAGAACGTACAAACCTTCCTTAAGGCTCCCTCCTCAAATTGATTTGGCCATTTTGATGTGCACTCCCCCAGACCTTTATATGCTTCAGATGCCAAATCTAAGAACCAGCTCCCAGAAACCACACCCCCTGTTCCAACCCCCAGCCTGGCTTGAGCGTGGGGTGGGTGGGAGGCAAGCTGGGCACCCCAGGGGTCTGGTGTCTTCCCCAGGCAGCTCTCAGGCTCCCTTGGTTCTCTCTGCAGTTTACATGAGCTAGTGAAACATGAAGAAAACGGCCTGGTCTTTGAGGACTCAGAGGAACTGGCAGCTCAGCTGCAGGTAACCATGTCTGCCACCACGCCAGGGTGGGCAGGGTTCTGGAGACGGGCACCGAGCCACACTCCCTGATCCCTGCTTCCCACAGCCAGGGTGGTAACATGTGGGGTCTGGTGGAAAAGCTAGTGAGGGAGCAGAAGTCACAGATGCTGGCCTACTCTGCTGTCCCGTTTCGGTACAGTAGGCTCGGGAATGTTAGGACACACCCCCACCTGCCCTCTGGATTTATGGAGCTGACACTCCACAAATGATGCTGGAGCCGGGTGGGCAGGGCTGCAGTTTAGGAAGTTGTCAGGATCAGGTAGGTGTGTGGGCAAAGGGAACTTCTGGGACCAGCCTTGAAAGATGGGTGGAATTCTGCAAATGTTACTTGTTTCTTATTGCAAAAAGTAATACATCATTCTTGTCAACAGAATGATTGGGAGGATTTTCAGTAAAGGTCCAGGTCGGAAGTCATTTAGACTGGGTCCCCCAGTCTCTGTCAGAACCATGGTACTCTGTTGTGGCGTGAAAGTAGCCACAGATCATCTGTAGATTAAGGGGTGTGGCTTTGTTCCAATAAAGCTTTATTTACAAACACAGGCTGTGGGCTGGATTTGGCCTGAAGGCTGTAGTTTGTGATCCTTGATTCAGACAGTTTAGCAAGGCTGAAAAGAACACCCACACCCCCTTGTTACCCACAGATGGGTGGGACTGTGTTGGCCAGAGGCCGAGAGGAGGGTGCTCACAGGGGAACGTACAGCATGTAGAGGCCGGAAGGTGCTCCAGCGCACCAAGTGTGGGAAAGTGGGACACACGGGGAAGTTTCCAGAAAGCATGATGTCAAGTTGGAGGCGGAGCACTGCTGGGGTGTGAAGGGTCTCAAGTCCAGGTAAGGGAGTTAGGGACTTGGGAGGGGTTGTTGTTGGGTCGGGGACCTGGGGTCAGCCAGGTGGTGACCTGGGATGGGGTGGGGACAGGAAATGAGGTAAGCTCTGCTCTTTAGTATTTTGCAGATGCTTTTCTCAAACTTCCCTGATCCTGCAGGCAAGCTAAACCAGTTCTGGAAGAACCTGCGGGAGTCGCAGCAGCTCCGATGGGATGAGAGTTGGGTGCAGACTGTGCTTCCTTTGGTTATGGACACATAAGTCCTGGGCCAGAGGCTAAAACCCCAGGGCCCCTGCTGTCCTTCCCGCAGCTTCTTCTCGGAGTCTCAGGGCAAACCCTTTCAAGCAGCGCCTCCCAGTGGCCAGAAGCTGAAATGACAGCAGTGGTGCCACCTGGTGAATAACCCGGGAAGCTGTGGTTGGCCCTGATTTCTTCTTTGGAGTCTCTGAAGTGCTTCCTGTCTTCTTCTGTTCTTCATGCCCCATGCCCCTGCCAGCGTATTACTGTTCTGTGACTTCCCTGTGACCTCTGCAGTACTCCTCATCCTGCATTTGGTCTCCAGGTGTCACCTTTCTGCCATGTTCCTTACACTTTGATTCCTGTCTTGAAAAAAGCACCTGCTGCACCATAAGCCCAGGAATGTGGCAGCTGCAGCGGGCTTGGCTTTGTGAGGAACCGAGTGTGTCCAGGGATGTGGCAGCTGTAGCGGGCTTGGCTTTGTGAGGAAACGAGTGTGTCCAGGGATGTGGCAGCTGCAGCAGGTTTGGCTTTCTGAGGAAACAAGTGTGTCCACGTTGGGGGAACGTCATACTTGATACACTCGTTTTTATTTGCACAAAGAAAATGCTATTTTTGGAGCCAGAATTTTCATGTCTGATTTATGGTGATTTTCTTAAGAACCAGAACTGCTGGCAGAAAGGGGGCACCCACATGCTTAGATAGCCAATGTCTTATTAGAGGGCAGTTTGTGGTTCCTGATTTGGAATTTAACATTTTCCAAACATTCCAGTGCAATGAAAGTTTTATCCGCTTTCCCATATAAAAATTCTTCCCACGAGAGTGACTTAATTCTCACAAGCCCGTTGGAGTCGTGTGTGAGTCCTACAGTGTGAGGTTCAGCATTGCCATCTCCAAGTGCTCTCTGTAGGGAAACAGTTTCTGGTCATGATGAGCTTCCACTTCCCATCTGATCCCAGTCCAGCCTGGAAACAGAGCACGTGTTTGAGGATGGCGGTGTTTGGGGACAGGACATGAGCGTATTGTGTGGGGCTGCTAGGACAGGCCTGGCGGGGTGGAGGGTGCCTAAGTCAGTTTACTTTGTTCACAGCTTCCCAGGCCCACCCAGGTACCTAGAATTGGCCTCCAGGATGGGACCAGAAATCTGGTTTTGCATAGAAATGGCTAGCAGCAGGCACCATGCTGCTGTCCACTCTCTGCCCGCGTCTGCCCCAGCCCTTGGCATAGCAGGACAGAAGCAGACATCTGAACCCACATCTACCTGGCTGCTTAGTCAATCCACTCACAAAGCTTAGAAAGTGGCCGGGCACAGTGGCTCATGCCTGTAATCCCAACACTTTGGGAGGCCAACGCCGGCGGAACACTTGAGGTCAGGTGTTCGAGACCAGCCTGGCCAACGTGGTGGAACCCCATCTCTACAAAAATACAAAAATTACCCAGGCACGATGGCGGATGCCTGTAATCCCAGCTACTTGGGAGGCTGAGGCGGGAGAATTGCTTGAACCCAGGAGGCGGAGGTTGCAGTGAGCCGAGATTGTGCCACTGCACTCCAGCCTGAGTGACAGAGTGAGACTCTATCTCAAAACACACACACACATACACACACACACAAAGCTTAGAAGGGGCTGGTGTTCTCATAAGCACAGATGTCTGAAGAGCCATTATCCAGAATGATTCTTTTTTTTTTTTTTTTTTTTTTTTTTTTTTGAGATACGAACTTGTTCTTTCACCCAGGCTGGAGTGCAGTGGCACAGTCATTGCTCACCACAGCCTCGACTCCTGGGCTCTAGCAATCCTCCCATTTCCTGACTAGCTGGGATGACAGGTGCATGTCACCATGCCAGTAATTTTTTTATTTTGTAGAGATGGGGTCCTGAACCCATGGCCTCAAGTGATGCTCCTGCCTCAGCCTCTTTTATTATTATTTTTTAGATGGAGTTTTACTCTGTTCCCCAGCTGGAGTGCAGTGGCACAATATCAGCTCACTGCAACAACTCCCAGGTTCAAGTGATTCTCCTGCCTCAGCCTCCTGAGTAGCTGGGATTATAGGCGTGCACCACCACGCCTGGCTAATTTTTGTGTTTTTAGTAGAGATGGGGTTTCACCGTGTAGGCCAGGCTGGTCTTGAACTTTTGACCTCAGGTGATCTGCTCACCTCAGCCTCCCAAAGCCTCAGCCTCTTACAGTGTTGGGATTACAGGCATGAGGCACTGCGACCCGGGATGATTTTCAATCACGGTTTTTTTGTTACGAGTGGAAAATGCGTATTTATGAAAATGAAGTAGTATAGACATGAAGGTGTAGCAATCTCTATAATCCTGCCATCCAAGGATGGCACCTGTTAACGTGTATATCAGGGATGTCCAATCTTTTGGCCTACATGCGCCACATTGGAAGAAGAAGAATCGCCTTGGGCTACACATAAAATACACTAATGCTAGCAACAGCTGATGAGCTAAAAGAAAAAAAATCACAAAAAAAATCTCATATTGTTTTAAGAAAGTTTACAGATTTGTGTTGGGCCGCAGGTTGGACAAGCCTGCTATATATATGTTCTAGGTTTTCCCCTATAGGTATACCTATGTGAAAATGATGATTGTGATAATTTTTTTTTGAGATGAAGTCTTGCTATGTTGCTCAAGGTGGCCACAAACTCCTGGGCTTAAGCCATCCTCCTGTCTCAGCCTCCTGAGTAGTTGGGAATATAGGTACTCATAACTATGTGTGGGTGACTATTATTAGTTTTTAAACAAAAATGGGTCTGGGCGCAGTAGCTGACGCCTGTAATCCTAACACTTTGGGAGGCTGAGGCAGCAGATCACTTGAGATCAGGAGTTCAAGACCAGCCTGGCCAACATGGCGAAACCTCGACTCTACAAAAAATACAAAAATTAGCCAGGCGTGGTAGCACGCACCTGTAGTCCCAGCTACTCAGGAGGCTGAGATGGGAGGATAGCTTGAACCTGGGAGGTGGCAGGTTGCAGTGGACCGAGATGGCACCTCTGCACTCCAGCCTGGGCAATACAAAGCCAGACTCTGTCCCAGAAAAAAAAAAAAAAAAAACAAAAAAAACAAAAAAAAAAACGTTGGTGAGGGCTTATACTATGTGTGCTGCTTGGCACTGTTTTTTTCACTTAAAAGATATTGCAGGTTTTTTTTCACGTAAGTATCTGAAGAAAGACTTCCTTTTTTTTTTTTTTTTTTTTTGATTTTTGCTATTTGAGACAGGGTCTTGCTCTGTTGCCCACGCTGGAGTGCAGTGGTGAGATCAGGGTTCACTGCAGCCTCCACCTCCTGGGGTCAAGCCATCCTCCCACCTCAGCTTCCCGAGTAGCTGGGACTACAGGCGTGTGCAACCACATCTGGCTAGTTTCTGTATGTTTTGTGAAGATGGGGTCCCACTATGTTGCCCAGGTTGGTCTTGAACACCTGGGGTCATGTAGTCCTCCTGCCTTAGCCTCCTAAAGTGCTGGGATGACAGGCCTGAGCCCCGTGCCCAGCCAGCCTCCTGTGCGAGGTTGTGCTGGACTCTGTCGTGGAACCCAGTATGTCTTCGTGTGCTGGCTTGTTTGTTGGCTCTGTAGTTAACGGGCTGCCCCACGTGGACAGGCACTGGATTGTCCGTGTCTCTGTGTGCAGGCAGAGGCTGCTGCGGGTGCATCTGTGCACATGGCTTCCAGGAGGGGCTATGCTCAGGGGGAGCTGGGGCAGAGGCTGGTGGCAAATGGGGGCTTGGGTGTAGTGTGGAGGCACGAGAGCCAGGTAGCCGGGCTGCAGTGTGCGGGAGCTCGGGGGTCGCTTGGCCTCTGTGTGTCCTAGTGTCTTTGTCAGTGAGATGGGACAATGACAGCACACCCTCACAGGTGTTGGGGGCTGACAAATATCAGGTCTGAGGACAGTGGCTGGCCCACTACGGGGCCAGTTCCCCTTCTCTATAGTCACCCTGCTCGTCTTCCATCGACTGGGTGCTCAGGACAGTGGCATGGTAGATCCGCCTGTACAGCCTGTGCTCCAGCATCCTGCAGGCCACAGCTGTGTCCAGCCCTGACCCCAACTGCCCCTCCCACCACCTCCATTTTATAGATGAGGAAACCGAGGCCCAAGGGCTTAGGGAACCCTACTCTGAAACACATAGTAGGGCTGCTGGGCTCAGACCCTCCCTTCCTGTGCTGAGCTGCCCTCCTCCTGCCGCAAGCCCCCCACGCCCCAAGCCCACCCTGCTCACTGGCCTCTGCCCAAGTTCCCCGCATGGTGTGCGAGTGTGGGGCATCCTAGCTTTTCCCCGGCGCCCAGTTCTTTCACTTCCACTGGAGTTCTGCAGGGACAGCTCGGAGACCATGCAGGCCCGGGTGGGCGTGTGGGCTCACCTAGCTCGGTGGTGAACAGCTGGCACGTCTCTGGGTTGCGGACGGTAAAGGCCAGGTAGACCTCAGGAGCCTGCTTGTGCTCCCGGCAGGCAGCCAGCCTCCGCAGGACCCCGACCAGTGACACGATGGCTTCTGGGCAATACAGCACGTCTACAGTGAAAACTTCAGGTTACTGAAAGGGACAAGTGGAAAGTTCCAGTTCATGCTGACCTCAGCAGCAGGGCGAGGCCAGAGAGGCAGCGCTCATATGAGACTATTAGATGCCATTTGACCTTTTGGGCCATTAGATTGAAAGGCAATTACTTGGGTGAAAAAGGAGAACCCTTAGTAGAGAAAGCTGCAAAAGACCGAAGCAAAAGAAAAAAAATCTCCAGACTCACTGGTGTTCCTTAAAAAAAAAAACAGTTCTGGTTCTCGGCCTATCTAGAGGGCTTTGAATGACAGAAAGCCTGACCCTACCGTGAACTTCTTGTTTCAGGTGTCTGCCGTTTGGTCTGCTGGCTTGCAGGGGTGGGCCTGTGTCCCTGGCCACCGCTGGACCTGTGGGTTTCAGGGCTGGGACCCAGGGCCACAGGCAGAGCTCTGTTCCACCAGAGAGGGGACTGAGTGTGCTGGCAGGGGTG
This sequence comes from Homo sapiens, assembly GCF_000001405.40. Taxonomy (NCBI): domain Eukaryota; kingdom Metazoa; phylum Chordata; class Mammalia; order Primates; family Hominidae; genus Homo; species Homo sapiens. The sequence goes on along the minus strand of NC_000004.12, from coordinate 9,161,329 downwards.
AGGGGTTTTCGGTGGCCCAGCCAAACACCACCTTTTCTCAAGGGCCCTGTCCTCGTCCCAGAAGTGGTTGTTTTTCTCCTGTGGTCTCTGAAGGACACAGGGCATGGCTCTGGGACAGAGCCATGTGGTGACCACTGTAATGGGAGTATACCTGTCTCCAACAATAGGGCTGTGGCTTGAAGGTCACCTTAAGAGGCACCGCTGTCCTTTGATGTCACCCTGGAGGTCCAGAGTAACTCTTCTGGAAACCCCATCATATCCATGCCCGACAGCATCCATTGTTCCCTTTTCCCAGAGCTAAAAGCTGGATAATGCTGCAAGGACACCGCCTGCACAGGATGCCCGGGGCTGGGCATTACCTGCTGCAATGACAATATCTGGCTGGAAGGCAGAGAGCTGATGGACTGTCGCTACGTCCCAGTCCAGCTGGGCCACTGTCACCCTGGGGCGTCTAAGTTGGCAGTGATGTCTGCCTCTAATGAGAGGCCATTGAGAAGGACATTCCCTCGGAGCTGCTCGAGGACCCGGCTGTGACAGTCGCTGAAGATGTATGCCTGGGGGCGACACATCTTGCAGATGGCCAGGCCTGTGAGGCCAGCGCCACTGCCAAGCTCTAGGACACCCCTGGTGGGAAGAAAGGGGAGCGTGTCTTCGACTGCACCAGGGTAAGCCTGCCTTGGTGCCCTGCCCTGTGCCCCGAGGTCACCTGTTAGTGAAGGCTGCTGGGTTCTCGATGGCCCATTCTGCAAGGTAGAGGGTGGCGTCCCATGTGACCAGGCCTGTAGTACCATGGGAGATGATGGCTGTGATCTCGGAAAGTGTGAACGAGCCTCCCGAGGGCTGCACCAAGAGAGGGTGAGAGAGTCAGTCCAGCGATCAGAAGGCAAGTGGCTTAGAAGACAAGTAGCCATCCACCGCATGGCTGAATAAACCATGACAGGACCAATCACCACTCAGCAATGAGAAGCAGCTAACTGTTGACATGCCAACAGCTTGCACGGGCCTCAAGGGTGTCATGTGGCATGAAAGACACTCATCTCAGGCCACACAGGATTCCATTCATCCCACATTTCTGAGACAATGGAATTCTGGCGATGGAGCACAGGTCAGTGGTGGCCAGGGGCCGGGTGTGGCTACGAAGTGGTGGCTGCCTTGTGATGATTCAATATGCTATGTTTGTCCTTTGTGGTTTTCTGTATCTATGTTTTATCTTATTTTTTTTTTGAGCTCTGTCACCCAGGCTAGAGTCAGTGGCACGATCTTGGCTCACTGCAACCTCTGCCTCCTGGGTTCGAGCAATTCTCCTGCCTCAGCTGCCCAAGTAGCTGTGACTACAGGCGTGTGCCACCATGTCCAGCTAATTTTTATACTTGTTTTTGAGACAGAGATTCGTTCTCATTGCTGAGGCCAGAGTGCAATAGCTTGATCTCAGCTCACTACAACATACACTTCCTGGGTTCAAGAGATTCTCCTGCCTCAGCCTCCAGAGTAGCTGGGATTACAGGCACCCACTACCACATCCTGCTAATTTTTGTATTTTTAGTAAAGATGGAGTCTCACCATGTTGGCCAAGCTGGTCTCAAACTCCTGACTTCAGGTGATCCCCCAGCCTCAGCCTCCCAAAGTGCTGGGATTACAGGTATGAGCCACCACGTCTGGCCTAATTTTTGTATTTTTAGTAGAGACAGGGTTTCACCATATTGACCAGGCTGGTCTCGAACTCCTGACCTCAGATCCACCAGCCTCGGCCTCCCAAAGTGCTGGGATTACAGTCGTGAGCCACCATGTCCAGCCCTGTCAAGTATTCTTTGAGGACTGGGCACCGGGTCCTTGTGAAGCAGGTAGTGTGTGTCACCTATTAGACAAATGCCCAACAACCCCATGAGACATGCTGTTGTTGTTGAAGTGCTTGATTTACAGACAGGGAAACTGAGGCTAAAGAAGGTTAATGGACCTCATATCTAAGACTGCAGAATGGGTGAGTCAGGATTTGAACCCACACCCACGTTTTCACTTTGTCTGTGCAGGAAGGGTATCTGGGCTGTGAGGGGGAGGAGGGTGCCCTTCTCATACCAGCAAATAGCTCCGGTGGCCCTGGGTGGACTCCTTGGCCATCAGAGTCTCCGCCAGCACCTCGTACAGCTCGTCCAAAGGCTCCGTGTGGACAGCCTCGTGCTGGGGGCAGACAGAGTGAGAGCTTGTTTGCTTTCGTTCTAATCTGTAAAAATGGTCAGATGATTTTCACCAAGTTTGGAGGGGAGATTTGGGATGGAATGGTGTAATACCGGCCAGCTGGTATATAAAATATTCACTTCGTTGGGTGTGGTGTTGTGTGCCGAATAGTTCCAGCTACTCTAGAGGCTGACGTGGGAGGACTGCTTGAGCCCAGGAGTTCGAGGACAGCCTGGGCAACAGAGATCTTGTCTCTAAAAAAAAAATAATTCCACTTGGTAGGGAAACCTGGACGGGAGGGCCTTCAACAAGAGGTGTTGAGAGGGTAGGGTTAGGTGTAGTCTAGGGCAGGAGACAAGGATTCCGTGAGAGCTGCCACGTGACCATGACAGAGAGCTCTGTGTTTGGATCAAACACAGAGAGGAGGAAAACGAAAGGTGATTTTAAGTGAGCCCAGGCAGAACTGTGAGGGCGGCCCATGCTGCAGGCTGTGGCTGTCAGCAGGCTGCTTCTCCACAGCTGGCCCCGTCCTACAATTCTCAGGGCAGCAGCAGGGTACACTGGGTGACTGCTGCCCTCTCCTGGTGGCACAGGGCAGACCTGCTGGTGACCACAGATGCACCCTTTTGGAGAGAACTAGGGAGAAAGCAGGTATTGGAGAAGCAGGGGATTGTTTATTTGCTGAAAGTGTGGCCCTTTCACTCAGCAGGTCTGCTACTGCCTACTAAGGAACGGCCTCTCGACATCCTCATGTCAAACCCTGCATGTTAGGGCCCACCTTTAAAATCCATCCTAGGCCAGGTGTGGTGGCTCATGCCTGTAATCCCAGCACTTTGGGAGGCCGAGGCAGGCGGATCACCTGAGGTCAGGAGTTTGAGACCAGCCTGGCCAACATGGTGAAACTCTGTCTCTACTAAAAATACAAAAACTAGCCAGGCATGGTGGCGTGTGCCTGTAGTCCCAGCTTCTTAGAAGGCTAGGCACGAGAGTTGCTTGAACCCAGGAGGCAGAGGTTTCAGGGAGCCGAGATTGTGCCACGGTAATCCAGCCTGTGCAACACAATGAGACTGTCTCAAAAAAGTAAATAAATAAGTAAAAAATAAAATCCATCGTATGTCAGTCAGGAAAGAGCTCATTCCAGCAGGATCAATGCAGAGAATTCACCAGAGGAACCAGTTCCAAAGGTATGGCAAGAGCTAAATCTTCCAACAGTGGCCCGTGGGGCAACCCAGAGATGGACAAGAGCAGGAAACTCCAAACCCTTCGGCGGGCAGGACAGAGGGTATGAGTGAGCGTCCCAGTGCTGTTTGCTGGACCAGCCTGGTAGGAATGAGAATTCATATGCTAGGAGATGGGGCCCCAGAGAAGCAGCTGCTGTGTAAACCCCAGGAAGCAGAGTGAGGGAGAGACGCTGGCCTCCCCTTCTTCCCGCCCTGCACTGTCTCCCATGGGTCACACTCAGCTGCAGCCAGTTGCCTGGGGAGGCCCCTGCCATGCTGGGGTTTGCAAAGCACGCCCAGGGCCTGGGAAGGACGGGGTGTGCAGCACGCCGGTGGCTATGCTGTCCGGCTACTGGGTGGACACTGCCCATAACTGACCTTTTTGATGAGTTCTGAGAGAAAGCACCGGGCATACTTGACTGATGGCGGGTGCTTCACACACACGGGATGCTTCACAGTCTACAGCAAAGGACAGAACGTTGGTTGCTCGAGAGCCCGTCTTAAGTCTCCTATGAGCTTCAAGCCAACACAGCAGAGGGCAAACTCCAGGCTACCCAATCCCTCAGCAAAGATGCAGATGGACAAAGCGTTCTGGCCCCACGCATCTGAAGTTTGTCTTAAGATATAAGCCATTTCCTAAAAATGCTTCCACTGCAGTGGCACAGGCTATGGCAGCATTTCTAATGCCCATTCTGAGCAGGAACACAGGGCATGTGGGCCCAAACCACCTCCCTCCCACGGGAGCCAGTGTGAACCAGGGTTTGCAGTAAGGACAGTCGCCAACTGTCTGGCTCTATGGAAGAGGCGGGAAGGCCCACTCGGCAACTGCTCTCTTGGAGCGTGTGTCCCTGGGGACAGGATGGAGGGGAGGGGAATCTCAGGGTGACTCCAGCTAAAGCCGAGAGAAGCCAAGTGCAGGATGAGCAAGTTCCAGGCAGTGGGAACAGCCTGTGCAAGCTCTGAGGTGGCCACGGGCTGGCACTTGGAAAGGAGGGCAGAGGGAATTGTGCAGCAGGAGGGGGGACGGTGGGAAAACAGGAGCCTGGAAGGAGAGGGAGGAGACGGTCCGCAGTGCCTGCTGGCTGGGAGGGATGCAGATTCTGCCCAAGGGCAGCAATGTACCCCACGCAATACACAGGCTCTTCATGCTGGTGCTGGTTTTTCATTTGTTTTGACACAGAGTCTCACTCTGTTGCCCAGGCTGGAGTGCAGTGGCCCGATCTTGGCTCACTGCAGCCTCTGCCTCCTGGGTTCAAGCGATTCTCCTGCCTCAGCCTCCCGAGTAGCTGGGACTATAGGCGTGCACCACCATGCCCAGCTAATTTTTTTATTTTTAGCAGAGATGGGTTTTTGCCATGTTGGTTAGGCTGGTCTTGAACTCCTGACCTTAGGTGATCCGTCCACCTCAGCCTCCCAAAGACCTGGGATTACAGGTGTGAGCCAGTGCACCCAGCCTTGTGCTGGGTTTTAAAGCAGCTCTCCCTACATCTCATGCTTCACCACCTACGAGAGTGAGGCTCAGGGTGAAACTCAGAGCAAGGTGCGAGATAACTTCAGGTATCTCCATGCTCGAAGCCCTGACCTACTGTATTGCCCCAAAAGTCTTCCCTGCTGTGGCTGCATCTTTTCCACGTGGATAATCTTGATTCACCTCTAGCACAGGAATTCTTCCCCGGGGCTCCTAGGATTGGGCTGGGTGGGTGAGGGTGGAGGATGTCTGCCTCCCCTGAGTTTGTATGGAAAATGTATTCTTCTGGTGCACTTCTTTCTGGGAGGGAGTCTATTGCTTTGTCTTTTCAGAAGGGCTCATGGCCCTTCGAAGGTGAAGACCCAGGATGCAGGGTGATCTGCACTTGGCCCTCAAGGCCAAGGTCAGCCTGTGGCTGGGCCGGGTGGTGATCCTGGCTCTCACCTGCATGCAGATGCACTTGAGTCCAAACCCTACCCTGGGCAAAGCAAGGGCCCATTTAGGTCTAGAAGAGACAGGAGTGGGCGGGACAGGCCTCATAAATGCAAAAAGAAAGTCTCTGAGCATCTACCAAATGCTAGAAGCTGTTTTGCACCTGTCATCTCTGTTTTTGCTGTGGATGGTTTAAAAAACATTCCCTAGATTTCCCCCCTCTTGCAGATTTTTGTATATTCTGATGTCTTTGTCTAAGTCTTAGATAGAAAACGAAAGCGCAGGAGCTGTGGGAGGTGCTGACACCCTCCTGCAGTGCTGACTCAATGGTTTTGTTCTTTGAAGAGGGCTGTTTTTAAAGGGTACAAGCACACCTGTGCTGCTTCTTTCAGGTCTTCCGGAGAGATTCAGGCGGCAGGGTCATGAGTCCCAGGGACTCTGGGATTCTTACCTTCTGCAAAATATCCCGCAGCAGCTCAGAATCTGATGAGTCTCTTAACTTTGCCTCTAAGCTCTGTGTGGATGGGAGAGAGAGAAATCTCAAGGGCACATTCACAGGAACATTAAAACACGCAATAGAATGTGTTGGCAAAGCTCTATGTGATCCCTCCCTGGGGACGTGGAGCCAGTTGGAAGTGGAAGCCACAGCGGCTGAAAGCCTGACCTTCAGATGTCGCAGAGTGCACCTGGATGAGTCACAGGAAGAAGGCTGACTCTTGGCCGCATTAGTCCTGGCTACTCAGTTGCCACCCAGGTCATGGGCCAGCTCCCTGGTTACACTGGTCAGCCAGGAATTACCAGGGCAGCCATGGCACCAAGGTTTGATGGGCTTGCCATCTGAGTTTAAGTGGAAATGCAGAATGTGCCCATACCAGCCTGGGTTACATTGCTGTCTTACAGGGGCCTCAAGCCCACCAGCGAGCTTTGGCTCCCGAGTTAGGCAGACTGTCTCGGCTGGTATGTGACACACGGCAAGGCACTTCATTGCTTCAGAGCTCCTTCCATGCCATAAAAGGCCCTACAAGACCTGCTGCTAATCCCCCTCTCTGGCCTGTTCTCCCTCACCCCTGGCCCACCCTGCTCACTCCACTCCAGCCACACTGGCTGCCTTGCTGTTGTTCCTCAACCACAGCTGGCTTATTTCCACCACAGGGCCTTTGCATATCCTGTTCCCCAAACCCTTCCCATGGCTGGCTGCTTCACCACTCAGGCCTCAGTTCAAATGCCACCCCTTTGGGGAAGGCTTCCCTGATTCCCTGACTTTGTTGACACTTTTTCCCAGTTGCTCCATTCACTATTTCCCTGTTTTATTGGTTTTAAAGCCACTCTAATCTGGTATTTTCTTGTTTATTCATTTATTTGTTTATTCTCTGGCTCTCCCATGCAAGCAGAGCCTCATCTATCATGGGTACAGCTGATCCATGGTGCCTGGCTCACGGAAGGCATTTTGAGACTGAATAAAACACTAGCTAACACCGACATGCATTTACCATGAGCCAGGCACTGATCCGCAGGCTTTTGTATTCAACGCTGACAACAACCCTAAGAGGTAGGTATCATTATATCCCCCATTTTGTTAATAAGAAAACAATAACACAGAGAGATGCAGTCACTTGCCCAAGGTCACACAGGGCCAGGGGTTGGGCCAGGATTCGAAGCAGGCAGGCTGTCTCCTGGGTCTGAACTCTCAACTACTTCACCCTAATCAAACAATCCCTCTGGTCAAATGTGAGTGATAATAATAGTACCCACCTCGTGGGTGTTGAGGGTGAGCCCAAGTTAGCATTCAGTGTGGGCATGTGAACAATTATAGTCAATATTGAATGGAGACCTATGATGCTTTTATGAAGGTTTCTATTTTGGGTTAAAAATGCACAAATTTCTCCTGACCAGAAATGATCCCTGAGTGCTAAATATTTTATGTCAATGCAATAACGCAAATGATTAAGCAACACCCCATAAAATGGGGCAGACACAGGGAGGAATATATATCCAAACTGACTCATCCCAGTGAGCTCACTGCACATGAATTACAAATGGAGCGGGGTGCATTAAGCCCCTCTGCTGGCAGAAGGGAGGCTGCTGCCTGCCATATGCCTATGCTGAGAATGGCAGGTCCCCAGGGAGAGGAGAGGCCACCCCCTTCTCTGTCTCTTCCATCACAGGCGTGAAAGCCTCAGCGCATGAGCCGATTCTGTGCAGTGCTCGACATACAGATGAGAACACTGAGGCATGAGAGACAGCCTGTGACCTGGTCACCGCGCTCAGGAGGCGGTGGTTACCCGCGGGCCTGAGGGCGCTGACTTTTTAGAATGGGCGAGCGCAGCTGTGTCCCAGTGACCAGAACGATTACTGCCTTTAAAAAGTCGTGAAAATGATCGTGAACTGTGCCCCACACCGAACGCGCGTCTGCCCCCCAGGGCGGTGGAGACGCCCCCAGCTTCCGCCGCCAGCTCGCGGGGCAGAAGGGGTGCGAGCGACTCTGGCCAGGCCCCAGGGACGGGGACCGGGTCTCGCGGCCCTGACCGGGGAGAGCCCAGGAACGCACGTGGCCGGAGCGCCAGGGGTTTCAGCACCGAGACCCATCCCGTCTGCCCCTGGACTCCCGCGACCCCCGCGGGCCTCTCCGCTCGCCCCGCCGGCCACCTGCCAGGGGAAGGAGCGCAGTGAGCGCGCCGCCAGGAAGCGGCGCTCGAAACCCTGCAGCCAGAGTTCTGTCCCCGCGTTCTCCTCGGGCGCCATGACGTGGGCGGAGCCGCAGCGTTGCCTGGAGACCTGGAGGAAGCCGGGCCTGGACTGAAGAGGGGGCGGGCCGAGGGCAGTGCGCGGGGGCAGAGAGGGGGCGGGGCCTGGGGATACGGTCAGGAGGTGCGTCCTGGGGGCGGACTCTAGGGCGGGGCCAAGATGAGCGTTAGGAGGGCGGGGCCTGGGGTGTGGCCAGGATGAACGTCATGAGGGCGAAGCCTGGGGTAGGGCCAGGATAAGCGACGTTGGGGCAGGTCCTGGGGAGAGTCCAGGTTGGCGGTTCCTGGGGCGGGGCCAGGATAGGGCGATCCTGGAAGCTGGGCTTCGGAAGCGTGCAGGTTGGTGGCGTCCTGGAGGCAGTGCCTTGCGTGGGGGCAGGATAAGAGTCCTGGAGGCGGGCATTAGGGCGGGGATAAACGCCATTGGGTTCAGGAGGCGGGACTCAGAGCCGAGCCCAGGAGAGAGGTCTTAGGGCGGGGCTAAAGCCAGACCCAGGGAAGGGCTCAGGAGGCGGGGCAGGGGCGGGGCGTTGACTATGTCGTAGCACACGGCCAGGCGGTGCGCGGACTCTGGGAGGCGAAGCTTAGGACGGGCCCACGTGGGGAGGGGCCCAGGGTCCGGGAGGCGGGGCCGAGTCCGGGCTGGGCTGCGCTCAGGAGGTGGGCCCTGGGAGGCGGAGCTTAGGGAGGGGCCGGTGTCGGGAGGGACCCAGGGACTGGGAGGCCGGTCGGGGCTGGGCTCGGGGGCCGAGACCTAGCTGGGCTTGGGGCGGGGCCGAGACGGAGCGAGGGGTCCAGGGTGTGGGAAACGGGGAGGGATTTGAGGAGGGGATCGGAATGTGGCTCCAGTTCGGGAGGCGTTACCTGCGGAGGGTTTGAGGAAGGCCCAGGAGCGAGCCCATGGTCTTCCGACGCGGGGCCAGGGGCGGGCCCCAGGATCCGGAGCTTCGGGGGGGCCGAGTCCGGGTTTGGGGCCCGGGAGGCGGGGCCAGTTAGGTCGAGGGTCCCTGGGATCGTCGGGTCAGGCCTTGGGCTAACGTAGGCACTCTCGCAGTTCCTCCGCCTTCAGGAAGGTCTTTTTAGCAGGGGCCTTACGGGTGCATGCTTCGGTCCTGGAGGACTTAGGCTAGCCTCCTCTCCATCAGCGCCACCCGTCTGGGGCCCGAAAGGAGGGAGCTTTCCCTCTGTCCCCCAGCCTTTGGACTGTCACCAAACAAGCCATTCGTTCACCAAATACTTTTTAAGCGCCTACCATGTGCCTGACAAGGGATATGTAACGGTGAGAAAAACTAGGTGTGGTCCAGGCCCTTCAGGGACTCAGGGGCTCGTGGAAGAAGTGGATATTGAAGTACTTATCACACAAAGGAGGATAAAAGTACGATAGCGATATCTACCACGAAGGTGAGCAGACAGAGCTAGCGGGGCTTGCAGGAGGAGTTTTGATCTTGCAGGGACAGGAAGGAGGAGTTAGCTCCTGCGGGGTGGGATTGGGGGTGGTAGTGATATAGACGTGGGGACAGAGTGGAAAACAACAAAAATATAATTATTTTAGTTCAAAGTTATTGTGTCTTGAGTTGAAAGGCAGGGCAGTTAGCAACACAGTTTAGATTTCAGTACTGCCCCTGAAATCTGAACTGTGTTCAAAGTCTAAAACGTTTACCTTAGCAAATTCCTCATAAAACTCCATTTGGAAGAGTCCCGAGAGCGAATTTGTTAAGTATACTTGCAAAAGGTAGATGAGGAGACAGATAAAATCTTATTACCTCTTTCAGATGAGAGGCACTTAAGCCCTGCTCAGCTATGAGAATAAGAGAGGGGAATTAATTCTAATTGAATACACTTGTTCTCTTATAGCTGTTGTTCCACACCAGAACCAAATGAGCGCAAGATCTGACAAAAAAAAAAGGTTCATCTTTTATTCTTCCAAACACTTTCATTTAAATCAAGAGGATGGGATGTGGTTATTACTGTGTTTTTAGACAAAATCAATGGTTTCTGGCTCTGAGATGTTGCATACACCCTCTCAGTCCCTGTATCCTGAGATGGAGTCACCTGAGAATCCACAGCAAGTCCTAACCAGGGATGGGTCTGGGTGATTAAGGAAGATTGGCTTCAGAACTGGGCCAGGGGCACTGCTTTGCTTTTGCTGTTTTGATCAGCTCTCTGCCTGCAGGAGACGAGGAAAACCAATGGGAACAGGTTAGTTATACTCATAAATCCTGGGCTTATTTTATTAACTCACATAATAGCTATTAATTGTCTTTCCTCCAAGGAGCAAAAGGGCATATACGGTCAATGTCATAGTAAGTAACACTGTATTATGTTACACTAAAATATTAATCTAGGTTGGTTCAGTCTTTCTTGAGTCCACAGATTGGAAGCAGATTGAGGAAGGACGCTAGCAGACCATAGAGCTGAGCCATGCACACAGAAGAAATCTTTTTTTCTTTTTTTCTGGAGACGGAGTTTTGCTCTCTAGTTGCCCAGGCTGGAGTGCAATGGTGCGATCTCGGCTCACTGCAACCTCCACCTCCCAGGTTCAAGCGATTCTCCTGCCTCAGCCTCCCGAGTAGCTGGGATTACAGGCGTGAGCCACCCTGCCGGGCCACTTTTGTATTTTTGGTAGAGACAGGGTTTGAACACCTTGGCCAGGCTGGTCTCAAATTCCTGACTTCAGGTTATCCACCCGCCTCTGCCTCCCAAAGTGCTGGGATTACAGGCATGACCCACCGCGCCTGGCCAGAAGAAATCTTTATCTTGGTGCGCAGTGTCTGGTGATGGACAAATGTCATCTCTCTTGGATCTGAATCTGGAAGGATCAAGGCACTGAAGGGATTTTTTTTGTTTCAGAGAGTCTCCCTCTGTTGCCAGGCTGGAGTGCAGCGGCACGACCTCGGCTCACGGCAACCTCTGCCTCCCGGGCTCCAGCGATTCTCCTGCCTCAGCATCTCGAGTAGCTGGGACTACAGGCACACATCACCACGCCCAGCTAATTTTTGTATTTTTAGTAGAGACAGGGTGTTACCATGTTGGCCAGGATGGTCTCAATCTCTTGACATCATGATCCACCTACCTTGGCCTCCCAAAGCGCTAGGATTACAGGCGTGAGCCACCACGCCCAGCCTCACTAAAGGGATTTTTTTAATATCACGTGGCTCTCACAGGTGCGGTGTGTTCGGGTGCAAGTGAAGATTATGACTGATGCTTAAAACCAAACGTAAAATTCCAGGTGGTGTTGCTATGGGGAGCAGCATTAGGACAATCTGAGTGGCTTCAGTTGCAAGAGTGTGCGTGTACGTGCAAGAACTACAGTCAAGATTCAACTTCTGGTTTGAAGATCTCTTTCATAACAGTAATAACAACCTAAGGCAGTTTAACAATATGGAATGGTTGCCTTTTAGAAGTTAACTTATGGGCATGGAAGTTCAATCAGTACATTGAAGTTTTTCCTTTATCTCTCCTATGGTTAATGGTTTCTGCAGAAAAGGACCAATTGATTTCTTTCTAAAACGTTGCTTCAGGGTGTAGAGACCTTTATAGGTCATGTTTTAATTTACAGAAAATTTTTATAGTTTAAATATAAATTACGTTCAATGTGGGCTTTGTAATACAATTTAAGGTTAAGTAAAGTTTCCACTTTCCTTAGGCTGTTTGCAGTGCCCAGCAGGCCCCATGATATCGAGATGGAAGTTATGTTAAAGGAGGAGGTTGGTCAGGGATGGGCAGAATAAGGAATATGCGCAGCTCAGGCTAATGATGCAATGATTGAGGTGTAGAAAGAGGGCCAAGCATGGGATAACGCCTGTAATCCCAGTGCCTTGGGAGGCCAAGGCAAGAGAATCTCTTGAGGTCAGACCAGCCTGGTCAACAGAGTGAGACCTAACCTGTACAAAAAAAAAACACACAAAAAAACAAAAAAAATTAGTTGGGCATGATGGTGTGCACCTGTAGTCTCAGCCACTTGGAAGGCTGAGGTCAGGGGATCCCTTGAGCCCAGGAGTTTGAGGCTGCAGTGAGCTATAATCACATAACTGTACTCCAGCCTGGATGACAGGGTGAGGCGCTGACTCAAAAAAAAAAAAAAAAAAATGAGTCAGGGAAAAAATTGGAAATCTTAATCCTCGGTACCCAGGAATGTGACCTTATTTGGAAATAGGGTCTTTCTAGATGTAATCAAGTAACGATGAGTCATCCTGGATTGGGGGCTGCTGGTGAGGGGGCAGATGCAATGACTGGTGTCCTTATAAAAGAAGAGAATGAAGGCCGTGCATGGTGGCTCATGCCTGGAGTCTCAGCACACTTTGGGAGGGTGAGGTGGGGGGAATCACTTGAAGTCAGGAGTTCGAGACCAGCCTGGCCAATAATAACAATAAAAAAGCCATTTTAGATTCCAATCCACTGAAAGAAAACTGTCCCTTAGTTAATGTCGTGCTTATTGGATCCATGAAGTCTTTGAAAATTTAAACTACAAGGACACTGCCCTCTGTGGTGGTGGAGAGAATACCAAGGACTTAAAGGTCTTTAAGAAAGAGAATGTAGAAAATGTACCCATTGGAAACAGCAAAATGATGATAATCGTACTGACAGTAATAATAAGCTCAAATATATAGAGCTTACTGTGTATCATGAATTGTTCTGAATGCTTTATAAATATATGTTACCCCCTTTACCCTCATGGCAGCCCAGTAAAGGCGCCATTCCCCATTTTACAGCTGGGGAAACTGAGTTACAGAGCTTTTCTGCACTGAGTCATCAGGAGCAAATGCTAGATCAGGTAATTGAACCCAAGCAATCTGGTTCCAGAGCCAAATAGATGTATGTTTTATGGTATACAAACATATACATACATTTTTAGGGGAAGGGTGGGGGTAGGATGGGATGAGGATTATGAGTAATTGCTTGGTAAATGCCAAATACCTTTCTTGTCTGTCCCTCTTTTCAAATGATAAAGTAATGTCAATTGCACACTTTTTTTTTTTTTTTTTTGAGACAAGGTCTAGCTGGAGTACAGTGATGCAGTCATAGCCCACTGCAGCCTCAGATTCCTGGGCTCAAGCAATCCACCCACATCAGTTTCCCAAGTAGTTGGGACTACAGGCCCACACTACTATGCCCAGCTAATTATTTTAATTTTTGTAGAGATGGCAGGTGGCGGTGGGGGGGGGGGGTTGTCTCGCTATGTTGCCCAGGGTGGTCTCGAACACTTGACCTCAAGTGAACCTCCTGCCTCAGCCCCACAAATCTCTGCAATTATAGGTGTGAGCCACTGTGGCTGGCTACAATACTATTTATTTATATTTTAGACCAACAGATATTCTAGTATATAAGAAATGTGATGCTCTCTGTACATTGAAGAGTTGGGCTAATATTTGTCCTGGTGGATACAGAAATTGCCTGTCTGCTCCGCTCTGGTTGAAGAAACCAGTCCGACTGTCTCTGAGGCTATGGAGCAGTCCATGAAGAATGAAAGCCCTCTGCCAGGCATGTTGGCTCACACCTGTAATACCAGCACTTTGGGAGGCCGAGGCAGGTGGATCACTTGAAGTCAGGAGTTCGACACCAGCATGGTCAACATGGTGAAACCCTGTCTCTACAAAAAATAGAAAAATTAGCTGGGCCTGGTGATGCGTGCCTGTAATCCCAGCTACTCAGGAGGCTGAGGCAAGAGAGTCACTTGAACTTGGGAAGCAGAGGTTACAGTGGGGAGCTGAGATCACACCACTGCATTCCAGCCTGAGCGACAGAGCGAGACTCTCTCCAAAAAAAAAAAAAAAAAAAAAAAGAAAGAATGAATGTCCTCATGATGGCCTCAAGCACATTGGTCCCTGAAGAGGGTCAAAGAAGGCCCACTTTACTCTGCACTGCAAAGCAGGCAGGTGGACAGGATGAGAAGTGGATTCAGTGAGAGGCATTGACCCAGAGGATTTTCTGCCTAATGGTTCAGCAGAAGATTAAACTGAGCACAGCATCCTGTTCCCTGAAACCATCTGGTTGGTCAGTGGGGAATGTTCTTGTCTCGTTAAATGTTCTCATGCTACTGTCAAGATATTCTGTTACAAAACGTCATAAACCACGTTTACAAATAGGCCAGGTGACTGTGGAATATCTCCTTGGCAAGGCCTTAGCTATGGGCGTGCGATTGGTGTATAGCAATCAGTGTTCCGGGCCACTTCAGGGATAAAATATAACTTAGGTGATAAACTGTTGTATTTTAATGTGAATATTTCCGCCAGCATTAAACAGTAACCCCATGAGTTTTCTCATACCTATTACACTCCGGAGTTGCAACAAGCTAACATGAAGGAAGTTGCAAACAGAATTATCGCATTTGGCTCCTATTCACAGCAAGGGTTCTTCAAGCTGTACCTGGGGCAGTCTTCCCTCACATGAGGTTTATAGCATCATTTATTTAATTATTTATTTATTTTTTGAGACGGAGTTTTGCTCTGTCGCCCAGGCTGGAGTGCAATGGTGCGATCTTGGCTCACTGCAACCTCTGCCCCCGGGGTTCAAGCGATTCTCCTGTCTCAGCCTCCCGAGTAGCTGGGATTATAGGCACCCGCCACCACTCCCGGCTAATTTTTGTATTTTTATTAGAGACGGGGTTTCACCATGTTGACCGGGCTGGTCTCAAACTCCTGACTTCAGGTGATCCACCCGCCTCAGCCTCCCAAAGTGTTGGGATTACTGGCATGAGCCACAGGGCCCGGCTATAGCATCACTTAAACTTTGTTTCTGCCATGAATTGTTAGTTCGTAGTTAACAAAAAATAGACCACCTCATTTACGTTTCACAGTTAGCTTTGGTTTTTGTGTTTTCTTTAGGCTTGTTTTCTAATTGTTTTTAAAATTGTGAAACAGGGTCTTGTTCTGTTGCTGAGGCCAGAGTGTAGTGACACAATCTTGGCTCACTGCAGCCTCAACCTCCTGGGCTCAAGCAATCCTCCCACTTTAGCCTCCAGAGTAGCTGGGACTACAAACACTAACCACCACCGCTGGCTAATTTTTAATTTTTAGTTTTTTTTTTTTTTTTTTGAAATGGAGTTTCGCTCTGTTGCCCAGCAGGTTGGAGTGCAGTGGCATAATCTCGGTTCACTGCAACCTCCACCTCTCGGGTTCAAGCGATTCTTCTGCCTCAGCCTCGGCACACACAATCACGCCTGGCTAATTTTTAAAAAATATTTTTATTAGCGACAGGGTTTCACCATGTTGGCCAGCCTGGTTTTGAACTCCTGAACTCAAGTAATCCACCTACCTCAGCCTCCCAAAGTGCTGGGATTACAAGCGTGAGCCACCACGCCAAGCCTAATTTTTAAATTTTTTGTAGAGACCAGGTTTTCCCATGTTGTCTAGGCTGGGCTTGAACTCCTGGGCTCAAGTGATCCTCCTGTCTTGGCTTCTCAAAATGCTGGGATTACAGGCATGGCCCTTATGTCTGGCCCTTAAAGCTGCTTTTTAATAATAGCTTTATTGAAAGATAATTCACATACCATACAATTTACCCATTTAAAGTGTATCATTTGGCCGGGCATGGTGGCTCACACTTGTAATCTCAGCACTTTGGGAGGCTGAGGTGGGAGCATCGCTTGAACCCAAGAGTTTGAGACGAGCCCGAGCAACATGGCAAAACCCTGTCTCGACCAAAAATACAAAAAAATTAGCTGGGCATGGTGGTGTGTGTCTGTAGTCCTAGCTAGTCAGGAGGCTGAAGTGGGAGGATGGTTTGAGTCCGGGAGGTGGAGGGTGCAGTGAGTTGAGATTGCACCACTACACTCCAGCCTGGGCAACAGAGCCAGACCCTGTCTCTAATTAAATACATAAAGTGTATAATTCAGTGTTTTTTAATATATTCACAGAGTTGTGCAGCCATCATCACCATCAATTTTAGAAATTTTAATTACCCCAGAAGAAACCCTGTATCCATTAGCAGTCACCCCTTATTTCCCTCCAACTATCCCCACACCTGGCCCCTGGCAACCATTAATCTACTTTCTGTTTCTTTGGATTTTCATATTCTGGGCATATATATATATATGTAGAATCATCTAATATTTGTCTGGCTTCTCTCACTTAGCCTAATGGTTTCAAGGTGTATCCAGGTTGTAGCATGAATCAGCCGTTCATTCCATATTTTGGCTGATTAATGTTCCATCACATGGGTAGACTGTACTTGTTTGCCCATTCTTCTGTTGTTGATAGGCATTTGTGTTGTTGCCACCTTTTGACAATTATGAATAATTTTGCTATGAGCATCTGTGTGTGTCTTTGTATGAACAGGCTTGCATATTTTTTGATATGGGCAAATGAGAACCAGCGGCGGGGGGCTTCTGTGGTGACTTTTTTGGTGATCTTTGTGTACTCTGTATAATGATTGGCCACTCAGGCTTGGGGGCAGCACTTAACCTTACATTTCTTTCTTTTTTTTAAGATAGGGTCTCTCTCTCTGCCACTCAGGCCAGAGTGCAGTTGACGCAGAGCAGGGGAGCCCTGAAATGGAGCATAGTGTGTCCGGAACTGGTGGGTTCTTGGTCTCACTGACTTCAAGAATGAAGCTGCGGACCCTCGGGATGAGTGTCACAGTTCTTAAAGGTGGCTTGTCTGGAGTTTGTTCCTTCTGATGCTCTGATGTGTTCAGAGTTTCTTCTTTCTGGTGGGTTTGTGGTCTCACTGGCTTCAGGAGTGAAGCTGCAGACCTTCAAGGTGAGTGTTACAGCTCTTAAGGCGGTGCGTCTGGAGTTGTTTGTTCCTCCCGGTGGGTTCATAGTCTCGCTGGCTTCAGGAGTGAAGCTGCAGACCTTCGAGGTGAGTGTTACAGCTCATAAAGGCAATGTGGACCCAAAGAGTGAGCAGCAGCAACATTTATTGCAAAGAGCAAAAGAACAAAGCTTCCCCAGTGTGGAAAGGGACCCCAGAGGGTTGCCACTGCTGGCTGGGGCAGCCTACTTTTATTCCCTTATCTGGCCCCACCCACATCCTGCTGATTGGTCCATTTTACAGAGAGCCGATTGGTCTGTTTTACAGAGAGCTGATTGGTCTGTTTTGACAGGGTGCTGATTGGTGCGTTTACAATACCTGAGCTAGATACAAAAGTTCTCCAAGCCCCTACTACATTAGCTAGACACAGAGTGTCGATTGGTGCATTGACAAACCCTGAGCTGGACACAGGGTGCTGATTGGTGTGTTTACAAACCTTGAGCTAGATACAGAGTGCCGATTGGTGTATTTACAATCCCTTAGCTTGACATAAAGGTTCTCAAAGTTCCCACCAGACTCAGGAGCCCAGCTGGCTTCACCAAGTAGATCCCACACGGGGGCCGCAGGTGGAGCTGCCTGCCAGTCCTGTGTCCTGTGCTGGCACTCCTCAGCCCTTGGGTGGTCGATGGGACTGGGCGCCCTGCAGCAGGCGGCGGTGCTCATTGGGGAGGCTCGGCACTCATCAGGGAGGCTCAGGCCACGCAGGAGCCCATGGAGAGTTGGGGGGAGGCTCAGGCATGGCGGGCTGCTTGTCCCGAGCCCTGCCCTGCAGGGAAGCAGCTAAGGCCCTGCAAGAAATTGAGCAAAGCAGCTGCTGGGCCAGGTGCTAAGCCCCTCACTGCCTGGGTCCAGCGGGGCCAGCGGGCTACTCTGAGTGCGGGGCCCAGTGAGCCCATGCCCACCCGGAACTAGCGCTGGCCCGCAAGCGCCACGCCCAGCCCCAGTTCCTGCCCGCGCCTCTCCCTCTATACCTCGCCGCAAGCTGAGGGAGCTGGCTCCAGCCTCGGCCAGCTCAGGAAGGGGCTCCCACAGTTCAGCGGCGGGCTGAAGGGCTCCTCAAGTGCCGCCAAAGTGGGAGCCCAGGCAGAGGAGGTGCCGAGAGTGAGCTCCAGGGCACCAGCATGCTGTCACCTCTCAGTAGCACGTGAGGGTTCTTGTCTTTACCCAGGAAAGAATTCAAGGGCAAGCCGGAGGTTTAGAAGAAAACAGCTTTATTGAAGAGGCAGCATTACAGCCCTGTGACTGCTCCTGTAGGGCAGGGTTACCCTGGAGGCAGAGAGTAGCGGCAGAGAGTCTGCAATCACATTTATACCCACTTTTAATTGCATGCAGATTAAAGGGCAGTTTATGCAGGAATTTCTAGAAAATGGGTAGTAACCTTTGAGTCATTGGGTCATTACCCTGGAAAGGGGCAGTAACTCCCGGGTGTTGCCTTGGCAATAGTAAACTCACATGGCACACTGGTGGGCATGTCTGATGGAAAGCTGCGTCTGCCCCAGCCTTGTTTTAGCTAGTCGTCAATTAGGTCTGGTGTCCAAGCCCTGCCTGTGGAGTCAAGTCCTGCCTCCTATCTCACAGTGGCGTGATCATGGCTCACTGCAGACTCAATATTCCCGGGCTCAAGCAGTTCTCCCACTTCAGCCTCCTGAGTTGCTGGGACCACAGGCACGTGCCACTAAGCCTAGCCACATTTTTTTGTATTTTTTGTAGAGATGGTGCTTCACTGTGTTGCCTAGGCTGGTCTCAAACCCCTGGGCTCAAGAAATCTACCTACCTTAGCCTTCTAAAGTGCTGGGATTACAGGTGTGAGCCACTGCACCCAGCCCAACCTTACATTTTTAATATCAAGTCACTTCTTTCTAGATTTTGATTTCTTCTTTAAAGTGGTGGAACTAAGAGCATCTATTTTATAGGGTTTTTGGGAAGACAAAAATGAAAGAACTGCTATTTAATGTTTAGTGAAGCGCTATGCAGAAATTTGAATAATGAAGTTGGTGTTTATTTTTTATTATTTATTTATTTATTTTTTAGAGACGGGGTCTTGCTCTGTTGCTCAAGCTGGAGTGCAGTAGTGCAACCACAGCTTAGTGCAGCCTTGACTTCCTGGGCTCAAGAAATCCTGCCACCTCAGCCTCCTGAGTAGCTGGGACTACAGGCATGCATCGCCATGTCTGGCTAGTTATTTATTTGTTTGTTTTTTGTAGAGATGGGGTCTCCCTGTGTTGCCCGGGCTGGTCTTGAACTCCTGGCCTTAAGCAATCCTCCTATCTTGGCCTCCCAAAACACTGAGATTACAAGTGTGAACCACCATGGCCAGCCTTATTTGTATTTTTAATCAGCCTTATCAAGTTGAATTGGTCTTTAATCTCGTATAACAGTAATTTGGAGCAGCATTGGTTGGGCGGAGGGTGGGAAACATTTAGGACCCTGTGGGCTACAACTCGTAGTGTGTGCACTTATTTTATTTTATTTTGTTTTGTTATATTATATTATATTATATATTATATTATATTATATTATATTATATTATATTATATTATATTATATTATATTTTTTTGAGACAGGGTCTCACTCTGTTTCCCAGACTGGAGTGCAGTAGCATGATCTTGGTTCACTGCAACCTCTGCCTCCCAACTTCAAGCGATTCTCCTGCCTCGGCCTCCAGAGTAGCTGGAACTACAGATGTGCACCACCACGCCCAGCTAATTTTTGTATTTTTAGTAGAGATGGGGTTTCACCATGTTGGCCAGGCTGGTCTCAAACTCCTGACCTCAGGTGATACACCTGCCTCAGCCTCCCAAAGTGCTGGGATTATGCGCATGAGCCACCGTGCCTGGCTGTGCACTTATGTTTGATTTTTGCAGAACCACCCTTCCCTAATGGTTGTCTCCTAGATCCAAGGTGACTTTATTCATTTTAGAATGAACTTACCCCATTGATAGTGTAACCAGAGTTGGCATACATCACGATTGGCAGAACCCGGTCATGTTTAGCGATATGGAAGTGTTCTGGAAACTCCTCCTTCTTGTAGATGTGGAGGTGAGGGTACGCATTCTTCAGTGCCTGGTAAAGGGCTTCTTCTTGCCCCGATTTGGGCAGGGGCATCCCAAAGCCACCATAGCCCACAATATCAAACTTGACCCAGTCCCTGAACTTGATGTAGTTGGACAAGGGGATCTTGTTGACATTGGGTCTCTTCTTCTCGGTGGTCACCCCATGGTCTCGTGTGATGATGACGCTGAGGTGCTCTGCAGGCTGTGCTTCTCAGTGGCTCCCTCCAGATACCCGATGGTCCTGCCGATTTGCTGAATCATCAACTTCCTGTTCTCTGCCTCTGGCCCGAATCGGTGTCCCACGTTATCTGGCTCTCTGTAGCACAGAGTCACAAAGTCAAAGTCTTCCTTGGTGAACCAGTTCATGATGGTATCGATGTTCTCCCTCCGCTCTGTCTCGTTGCTGTTTGGGTGAGTGTAGGACTCCACCAGGGACCGCTTGACAGCCTCACCCTCTTATTTAGCACCTCCCTTGGAATAGTGGAATGATGCCACTTTGTTCCCCTGCAAGTACAAGAAGAAAATTCCATCGGGGCCATTTCTCATACCTTTCTCACAATCAGCAAAGCTCGAGTTGTCTATATCTGTGCCCCAGTCCAAAGGCATAGGAAATATATGGTCTTTGGAGTCAGACAGGGTGGAGTTAGATTCTGGGCTTCCCCAGGATCTAATAGCATCTACAACACTGTTAGTTACAAGATGTGCTATTATTTTATGGGCTACTAAGCAGAAAAATGCTGCCAACGAGACCTTGACATTCCAGTGATTGTAAGGTGTGTTCCAACTTCAGAGATGGCAAAATGAAAAACAGTTCCTTAGAATAGAAGGAGACGGTAATTTCTGAGTTGTTGGTGGTGAATTTGTGCATGTGTGTTTTTTATATATATACACATATATATATATACACACACATACACATGTACATGTATATATATGTGCATATGTATACATATATACACATACATGTATATATGTGTATATATACACATACATGTATATATGTGTATATATACACATACATATATACATATATATGTATACATAGTGGTGCAGGGGTACAATCATAGCTCATTGCACCCTTGAACTTCTGGGCTTAAGTGATCCTGCTACCTCAGCCTCTTCAGCAGCTGGGGCAACAGGCATGTGCAACCACACCTATTTTTTTTTTTTTTTTTTTTTTTTGAGACACAGTCTCACTCTGCAACCTCTGACTCCTGGGTTCAAGCAATTCTTGTACCTCAGCCTCCTAAGTAGCTGGGATTATAGACATGTGCGACTATGCCCAGCTAAGTTTTGTATTTTTAGTTGAGATAGAGTTTTGTCGTGTTGGCCAGGCTGGTTTTGAATTCCTGGGCTGAAGTGATCCACTTGCCTTGGCCTCCTAAAGTGCTGGGATTACTTGTGTGAGCCACGGCGCCTTGCCCTAATTTTTTTTTTTTAATATTTGTAGAGATGAGGTCTCACTAATTTGCCCAGGCTGGTCCTGAAGTCCTGGGTTCAAGTAATTCTCCTGCCTCAGCCTCTCAAAGTGCTGGGATTACAGGCATGAGACACCATGCCCGGCTGGTGGTGAGTTTTAAAATCTCCCAGTGTCTCAGTGTCTCAGTGTTTCTACCTGTAGAATCCCAAAAAGTAGATGACATCTTTGTGAGGATTAAGCAGGCTAGCTTTTTAATTTTATTTTTTATTTTTATTTTTTGGAGACAGAATTTCTCTCTTGTCACCCAGGCTGGAGTGCAATGGCGTGATCTTGGCTCACTGCAACCTCCGCCTCCTGGATTCAAGTGGTTCTCCTGCCTCAGCCTCCCAAGTAGCTGGGATTACAAAGCCAGCTAGCTTTAAGATACGGTGTTGGGCATCACATTGTGGCATGGAGCAGGCACTCTTTTCTTTGCCCCCAGGTGGGACTAAGCCACCACAAGCCTTCCCTGGTGTGTGCAGTGGGTGATGAATGCTTGCCTGCTCAGCACCCACTTCCTGGTCGGCTGGGTCACATTACTCTGACTCCTCCTTGAGCTTCAGTCCGCGCCTGGTTCAAGATTATTGACTCAACGCGAGGATCCAGAGATGGGATGTAGCTCTGGCCTGGCCAGAGGACCGAGGATGCTGCATGCCATGGCTACAGCAACTGGGTCAGCTTTGGGCTCATGTCCTAGTCAGAGCCAATGAGATGTAATCTTGGGATATCTGCTGGGCTGTTCGGAGGGGACAGGCTGCCCTGCACATCCCCATTCCTGATGCTGAGGGATCTGAGAAAATCACTTGTAAAATTTGGGGGTGTTTGGAAGAAGGGGAGATTGATGTCTCTTTCTCTCTACAGACATCTGATCAGCTACAGAGCTTGACTAACCTACCCAGAGACAGAATGATATGGTGGTTAAAAGTGTGCTCTGGGCCGAGATTTTGCCACTGCACTTCAGCCTGGGTGACAGAGTGAGACTCCATCTCAAAAAAAATAAAAAAAGTGTGCTCTGGGCTGGGCGCGGGGGCTCACAACTGTAATCCCAGCACTTTGGGAGGCTGAGGCAGGAGGATCGCTTGAAGTCAGGAGTTTGGGATCAGACCCTATCTCTAGAAAAATGTTTTTTAAAAATTAGCTGGGTTGGTGGTGAATGCGTCTAGTCCCAGCTACTCGGGAGGCTGAGGCGGGAAGACTGGTGGAGCCCGGGAGTTCAAGGCTGCACTGAGCTATGATCAGGACACTGTACTCCAATTTGAGGGACAGAGGGAGACCCCATCTCTCTGAACAACAAAAATGTGTGCTCTGGTGCCGCACTGCCTGGTTAGATCCTTTGTCCACCACTTAGATGCATGTTATATAAATGCTCTACTCAGTTTCCTCATGTGTAACTTGGGGATGACAATGCTGCCCCATGAAGTGGTTGTGGGGACTAAATGCATGTGGACACATTGGTAAGTATTCAACAAGCTTGATTTCTCCTGGAGAGGGTGAAAGAGCGTGCAGTGAAGTGGCGTGGTCAGGTGCATTGGGACAAGTATTATTTCCTCTGGCTTCTGCCTCCTGGGAGGTACAAAGGAGGGATCTGAAATGTGTCTGCAGACCCCAGAGTTGGGGACTGCAGAGGGAAATTGAGATCAGGGACTGTAGTCTGGCAGAAATGAGTGCAGCATGGGGCATTGTGTTCCTTCCATCAGAGGCATGGGGTGTGTTGCAGACAGTCATGAAATGTGACTGAATCTTGCAAGGGACCCTCGGTCCTAGGGTTGCCGCTTGAGACAAAGACCCCTATCAGTGGAACCTGGTGACCTTCACCCTTCTCTGTCAGGCTGCAGACAGCAAGAGATGGCAGCAGATTACACCCAGCAGGAAAAGGGCCGTTGCTATCCCACAGGTTGCCATAGGAGGAGATGACATCTCTCCCTCTCCTCCTCCAGCAGTGTCAGCTGGGGAAGAGGTGGGTGGGTGTGCACAAAAGAGTAGACCACAGAGCATGCTCCTTCTCCTCCAGTCTGCTGGGGCCCCCAGAGAGTCTGCAGCCCTTGGCCAGGGACCGGCTGACACAGGAGAACAAAAGACCTTAGGTTGGGATAACATGGTGGTGCAGTTGATCCTCTGGAGCTCCCTGTGAGATCAGACTGGAGCCAGTCTCCTGCTGAGACCACATCTCACTTAGCTCGTTCCCTGCCATATCCTGTTTTCCTTACTCCTATCTCCTGAGAGTTCTTCCTGAATGAATTACATGCACTCAATCCCTGCCTCAGGCTCTGCTTTTAGGGAACTTGACCTAAGACAGAAATCTTAGTACTAAATAATTTGCAAGGCCTCAGAAGCTCTGCTATCCACAAGCAGGTGAGATATTACCTTCCCTACCACCTGGCAGTCATAGTCTATGATGCGATTCAGCTTTATGGAAGTGCTTCTCTAAAGAACATCCCCCAATTTAAAACGATCTTAATTTACTTACTTGTTTACTGTCCATTTAGCTGCTCTAAAATGTGAGCTCCAAATCAGGGGCCATGTCTGGTTGCTTACTCATTTTCTGAGACCTAGAATGGGCCTAGCTCAGAGCAGGTGCTCACTATTGATGGAATGCATGTTGAAAGAATGCATGAATCTCATCTCTTTTTGTGGGCGAAAAACTCATCCTATTCTCACCCTGATTAACTTTCTTTCTTTCTTTATTTTTTTTTTCAAAATGGAGCCATGATCTGTCACCCAGGCTGGAGTGCAATGGTGTGATCTCAGCTAGCTGCAACCTCTGCCTTCTGGATTAAACCAATTCTCCTGCCTCAGCCTCCTGGGTAGCTGGGATTACAGGTGTATACCACCACGCCTGGCTAATTTTTTGGATTTTTAATAGAGACAGTGTTTCACCATGTTGGCCAGGCTGGTCTCGAACTCCTGACCTCGTGATCCGCCCTCTTTGGCCTCCCAAAGTCCTGGGATTACAGGCATGAGCCACCGTACCCAGCCACTCTTGATTAACTTAATGGAAATATTTACAGAGATTCTTTCTCTTCTGGGTTCTAGCGTCTTATCTGTAACCTCTGCAGGTAATACATTTTCCTTCCTGATGATAGAATTTCTGTGGTTGCTTTCACTTGCAAATCCTCTAATACTTATTTATTCCATTTCTGATTGGCATTAGACATAATTCTCAATTTTTAGTGACAGCACTTCGTTTAACTTACATATAAATTGACTTTGCCTTGAAATGTGACATTGACTAGAAGGATGAAACTTCTAACATGCTGTAGAACATAGTTTGACTGGCTAACTTATTATTTAGAAGAAGCTAATATTGTCATTATGAGGGACTTAGGTGACTTTGAAGAACCAGTTGGATTTCTAATGTTGCAATGTTAAATCACAGATATTGCCAACGCGAAATAATTTCCATATGCTGTGTTCTCAATACACTCCTTTTCCAAAGATATCCCAAGCTGTAGTCTTATAAAACTGATTTTTTTTATTTGTTCTCACAGGAATTTGGGGAGCTATGCGGGATCTCCATAAAATGAGCTCCAGAAAGACATGTGCGCACACACACACACACACACACACACACACACTCACATATGTACCACACCACAATTGACTCTGTTTATTTGGGACCCATGATTATCCGAAGTGCTATTTTTAACAAATACTTCTGAGAAATAATCTGAACACTTAATTGGATGCAAAACAGTGGGTATTTACTATTCTACACTTTAATTAGCATAATCAGTGTTTCCAGCAGCAAAAGCAATTGGAAAATCGCTAGTTTTATTAGGTTCATTATTCTCCCTTAGCGTAGTGTGGCATCAGCATGGCTATTATTCTTAAATTGCCTCTTTAAAACAAGAGCTGGTGCTTCTTACAGGCAATTCCTAACTCTTGGGTTTTGTAGAGGGTCCAAAACTCTTTAGAACCTATAATTCAAGGAAAGGCTCCACTTTGGTTTTGCATTTTGTCTGGTCTCTTTGGGTGACAGAATTTATGTCACAAGGTGCACATGTTTTGGGGAGGCTCATGGACAGCCCGTCGCGCTTCTGCTTTGGTAGGAAGTACGTGCCGTTAAGGGGAAGGAGTTAGTTACTCAACTAGGGAACAATTGGGTAGAAAGAGATGGACGCCCTGTATTTGAAATTCAGAACTCAAGCTTGGCTCTAAGTGTTTCCTTGCTTTGCTGTGCTCCAGGGGAGTCACTGAGCAGAAGGAAGCGAGTTGCCTGAGATTCCTCAAAGCCCGCAGCCCTTTTGGAGGTTACATTGTTATTCTCAGAGCCTTTATGATGCATAATAAAGACCCAGCTTGGACCAATATTAGGATGAGTTATCTTTCTATTAACATTCTTTTAGGTAGAAGTTGCTTTTAGGTAGAAGTTGGTCCCATCTTGCTCACAATCCTCCAAAGTTTGGAAGTTACTTTCCAGGAGACTTAGCTTGCACTGAGAGCTGCCCTCCCACCCTCTCTCCAAATTTCCTCTTGGGGGTAGCCTAACAAGGTGCTGTCACAGACCCTTACCAGCCACGAAGACCCCACCCAGACCATCCCTCTGCTGTTTCACTCTTTGATATTCTCTGGAGCTCTCTGGGGAGGTGCGAGACCTGCTGTCTGGTTTGTACGGTTTGACCAGGTCTTACACTCATGGCTGGCTGTCTCTCTCTGAGAACTGGGACTCCTGAACTTGGTGAAATACCTCAGCCATTGATCATGTTAAATTATCGGGAACACTCATTTAAAATCCGAGTCTGCTCCAGATGGACTCTCTCTCTTTCTGCCCTGACCATGAGAGAGAGAGATCGTGAGAGAGAGAGACCGTGAGAGAGAGAGAGAGAGAGAGAGAGAGAGAGAGAGAGAGAGAGAGAGAGAGAGACTGTGCCCTGACCTGCTGGACAGTGGAGATGCTCGTGGGCTGTGAGCAAGGGATGCAAAGGCTGCCGGGAATCCCATCTTTCCAGCATCATCTGCCAAGGCACATCAGTTCCTGGGTGTCTTGATGGGTTCTGGCAGCATTACTGTCATTGAAGGAAAACATTTTAGCCATATTAAAGGTGAATGCAGCAATCTCCACACAGGCTTCCTGGAAGGGACGCGGGACAAGGGTAGGTTTTCCCTGTGATGGACAGGAGGCAGGCGGCCTTCCCACAGCCCTGCCTGGCAAAGCAGATGTGTCCCCAAAAGGCACTGGGGGCAGCTGGAGTGCTGTGCCAAGGCGGGCTCACACGGGCCCTGGGTTGGCTCTGATTGCAGCGGTTTCCCGCCAGCTCCTTGGAGAGCTGGCAGATGACCCAGCCCCACAGCAGGAGCTGTGAATGGCAGAACGAGATGCAACAATTTGATATCCACTTGGCAGATGAGCCGGGTGTCGTCAGTCGCCTGGCTCTGCGCCAACCTCTTTTTGCATAAACACTTATGAATTCAGCCAGGAGGAAAAGCACTCTGATTATGAATTGAGCAGAAGGAAACAAAGTTCTGCAGATAAACACCAATGAGACAAAAAAACACGAATAAGAAAAATGACAGAAAAGGAGAACCTTCCCAGAAGCCTCCTGCCAGTGAACGGCCACCGTAGCAAGAGCTTGGAGGCCCTGGGTTTTGAACTGTGAGATAAGGAAGATGATGAAAACCTCCCTAGCAGCCAGGCAAGCACAAGATTCCTGTGAAATCCAGGTCTAAGTGTTTTGACCACAGAAGTAATATTATGTCATAGGTGAGAGCTGTGAGTTGCTGAACCTGAAGTGAGTTCAAATCCGAACTCTGCCTCCTGCTACCTGTGCGACTTTGAGAAGTTCCAGCACCGCTTTGTGCCTCAGTTTTGTCATCTGTTAAATGGGCATAATTACAGCTCCTGCCTCAGAGTTGTTGTAAATTAATAGAGGTAAAGCACTGAAATCAGCCTGGTATACAGTAAGTGTTATGAACGTTATTTTCTTGGAAGGACATAACTTATTTTCATGGTCTCGGCCTGAAAGTCTAAAAAATGTGAGAGAAGAGGAAAGAATCTAGAGTCTCACCATGAGGGAGAAAAGTCAACTTGAAGCAGGACAGGGTCATTGACAATTTCCTGTGATTCTACAGCTGCCTTGTACACTATGGTAGTTCCTATCCACTTGTTTAGATTTCGTGATTTAGAAATGAATTAAGGGCATGCATGGTGGCTCACAACTGTAATCCCAGCATTTTGGGAGGCCAAGATGGGCAGATCACCTGAGGTCAGGCGTTCAAGATCAGCCTGGCCAACGTGGTGAAATCTCGTCTCTACAAAAATACAAAAATTAGCCGGGCATGATGGCGGGTTCCTGTAATCCTGGCTACTCAGGAGGCTGAGGCAAGAGAATTGCTTGAACCCAGGAGATGGAGGTTGCAGTGAGACGAGATTGCACCACTGCACTCCAGCCTGGAGGATAGAGTGAGACTCTGTCTGAAAAAAAAAAAAAATAGTTAAGAGAAAATTGAAAATTCAGTTCTTCATTCTCACCAGCCACATTTCAAGGGCTCAACAGCCCATGTGGGTGGCTAGCAGCTCCCATGTTGGACAGTGCAGAGTGGAGCAAGCCCGCCATTGCAGAATGTTTGATTGGACAGTGACTGAATAGTCTAGTGTAGTGGTGCCCAATTTTTTTAGCACCAAGGACCAGTTTCCATGTATTTGTGGGGGGAAGTTTCAGTATGATTCAAGTGCATTACATTTATTGTGTACTTCATTTCTATTGTTATGAACATTTTAATATATAATGAAATCATTATACAACTCACCATAATGTAGAATCAGTGGGAGCCCTGAGCTTGTTTTCCTGCAACTAGATAATCCCATCTCCGGGTGGTGGGAGACAGTGACAGATCATCAGGCATTAGATTCTCATAAGGAGCACACAACCTAGATCCCTTCCACATGCAGTTCACAATAGGGTTGGTGCTCCTATGAGAATCTAATGCCACTGCTGATCTGACAGGAGACAGAGCTCAGGTGGTAACGCTAGCCATGGGGAGCAGCTGTAAATACAGATGAAGCTTCACTCGCTAGCCCACTGCTCACCTCCTTCTGTGCAGCCCAGTTCCTAACAGGCCACAGACCGCTACTGGTCTGTTGTCTGGGGGATGGGGACCTCTGGTCTTTTGGATAACACTGGCTTGGAGTGTACTGATCAGCCAAAGAAGCACTGAGATGATTTGTCCTCCATTAATAAGAATGATGGACTTTTTTTTTGTTTGAGACAGAGTTTTGCTCTTGTTGCCCATGCTGAAGTGCAGTGGCACCATCTTGGCTCACTGCAAACTCTGCCCCCCAGGTTCAAGAGATTCTCTTGCCTCAGCCTCCCAAGTAGTTGGGATTACAGGTGCCTGCCACCATGCCTGGCTAATTTTTGTGTTTTTAGTAGAGTCAGGGTTTTGCCATGTTGACCAGGCTGGTCTTGAATTCCTGACCTCAAGTGATCCACCTGCCTCGGTCTCCCGAAGTGCTGGGATTACAGGCGTGAGACACCGTACCTGGCCAGATGGACTTTTTTGGAGCATTTAGTTCCAAGCACCTTCCCTGCATTTTCTCAGTTAATCCTCCCAGTGACTCTTTGAAGCAGGGACTATGACAATCGTCATTTCACAGATGGAGCAACTGAGGCACAGAGAGGAAGTCAATGGCCACGGTCGCCCAGCTGAGGAAGGATGGATCCGGCTGAGATCCTGTTCTGGGGACCTAACTCTGCAGCCTGCATTCTGGGCTGCTGTATTCTCCCATGTTGCTATCTGACGAGCACAGCATGGGCTCAGAGTACAGAGAGGAGGCACCAGCTAATAAGGAGAGGTCTGGGGTGAAGGCTGGTGCCTTGGGGAAGAAGAGAGAGGTCCCATTCTAAAGGGATGGCATTGGGAGTTCATAGTGATAAAGCAAAGCCAACAGGTTTTGGGGCTGGGAGTTAAACATACAGCTCTGGTTTCTGCCTTTTCACAGTGGTGATGAATAGGCACTGAGACCCTCTCGAGCTAAAGTTGTCATCATTGCTCTTCATAGTCTGAAGGTGCATGAAATGGTCAACTTTCTTCCAAAGGGCTTTTATGCCTAAGTCTGTGGTTAGTGTATAAACAGATATTTACTGAAGTCCTGCTGGGTGCAGACACTGTGGCCAGCCCTGAGGCTACAGTCGAGATGAAGCCAGTCTCTGTCCTCATGGAGACCTGTCTATTGATAAGAAAACAGAAAGCTCACTGAGCATTGACCCTGTGCCCACTGCTTTTGATGCATCTCTCATTTCATCCTTCTATCAAATCTGTGAAATAAACACATCACCATCATCCCTATTTCACATTTAGGGAAACATGCTTAGAGAGGGTAAGTAACTTGTTCAAGGTCACACAGCTTCAAACTCTCATCCCACAGGCGCAGGAATGGGAGGCAGCAGCTGTGGAAGCCAGGGTCTCTGGCAGTCCTTGTCTCTGGGCGGTGATCCAGAAAGAGAGAGAACACGATTGTCTCAGCACTGGGTCTTCTTCTGAGTCATCTTGAAGGAGCAATTCCAGAGCGTCTCGGTGTTAAACATCATGTTGTGAATGACTCAGTGATCTCTGACCCAGAGACCTTGGGGATAAAGGAGGGGAGGTACGGAGAAGCTCTTCGAATGGATGTTACCGGCGTGTCAGTGTTCTTTGAGGCCACAGGCTATGTGTCACCAAATTGAAGGGGTGGCCTGCCCCTCCACACCTGTGGGTATTTCTAGTCGGGTGGGATGAGAGACAGAGAAAAGAAATAAGACACAGAGACAAAGTACAGGGAAACAACAGTGGGTCCAGGGGACTGGCACTCAGCACACCAGGACCTGCACGAGCACTGGCCTCTGAGTTCCCTCAGTTTTTATTGATTATGATTTTCATTATTTCAGCAAAAAGGAATGTAATAGGAGAGCAGGGTGATAATAAGCAGAATGTCAACAAAAAACATGTGAGCAAAATAATCTATATCATAATTAAGTTCAAGGGAAGGTATATGACTGGACTTGCATGTAGTCGACATTTATGTTTCTCTCCACCCAAACATCTCAGTGGAGTAAAGAATAACATGGCAGCATTACTGCAACATGTCTCGCCTCCCGCCACAGGGCAGCTTTTATCCTAGCTCAGACTTGAACAAATGTACAATCGGGTTTACACCGAGACATTCAATTCCCAGGGGCAAGCAGGAGACAGTGGCCTTCCTCCATCTCAACTGCAAGAGGCTTTCCTCTTTTACTAATCCGCCTCAGCACAGACCCTTTACGGGTGTCAGGCTGGGGGACAGTCAGGTCTTTCTCATTCCATGAGGCCATATTTCAGACTATCACATGGGGAGAAACCTTGGACAAAACCCTGCTTTCAAGGGCAGGGCTCCCTGCGGCTCTCCACTGTGCATTGTGCCCCTGGTTTATTGTGACTAGAGAATGGCAATGACTTTTACCAACTTTACTGCTTGTAAACATTTGGTTAACAAGGCACGTCCTGCACAGCCCTAGATCCCTTAAACCTTGATTTTAGACAACACATGTTTTTGTGAACTCCAAGTTGGGTCAAAGTGACTGGGGCAAAGTGGCTGGGGCAAAGCTACAAATGAACAACATCTCAGCAAAGCAATTGTTAGAGTACAGGTCTTTTTCAAAGTGGAGTCTCTTATGTCTTCCCTTTCTACATAGACACAGTGACAGTCTGATCTCTCTCTTTTCCCTACATTTCCCCCTTTTCTTTTTAACAAAACCGCCATCGTCATCATGGCCCCTTCTCACTGGTCGCTGTCTCTCCGGAGCTGCTGGATACACCTGTAGACTAACAATAGAGAGGACAGACATACAAAAATTAATACAAAATTTGCAATAGTGGAATTTCCAATGGTTTTAACCCAAGTGACAGGGTTAAGATTTGTGAGGCTATCAACAGCTTTTACCATTGCCTCCGTTTCTGACACCAGATTTAACTGGGCTTTTGAGGTTTCAAAAATTTGTTCTTTCAATTTAGAAATATCTAAGGTAAGATTATCTTCTCTTCCTTGTAGATGGCGTCTAACCATGTCCCAGTGATGTTCAGGTTCATTATAGGCTCAAGGTTTAATACAAAAATCTGACGTATTCCAGTCACACTGTAACTGAAAAAGATATTCTAAGCTCATGAGCCTATCTCCCATCCAAATAACAGTTTGTCTAAGATCATTAATTTGATTTGCCAATTTTTGATCTATTTGAGTCTGAGAATTCCACAATTTTGAGGAATTCTTTTGCCAATTATTCACATATTCTGCAGTTTGAACAGAGGAGTGTAAAGAAATTCCAGCAGCCGCAGCAGTAGCTGTGACTGCAATAAGACCCACAATCACTGCAATCAAAGTAAAAATGGATCTTTTAGATCTAGTTAGAACTCCTTTTAATACTTAAGATATGTACGGATGGAGAAGCGTCCCATGGTCGATCCATGGACAAAGGGATCCACACGCCTTCTCTTGCCCTTACTAACAGAATACCATTCTACCAATCAAAAGTTGAATCAATGCAAGTAAACAATCTACAATTTTCACTGCTTGTAGTTTGGGAATCTGGTTTAATAGCTATGTTTCCTACAACTAGCATATAAGGGGGTTTTACACAACTTTGCAAAGGAATTTTCAGATTGTAATTTAGGTTAATAGTATAATATGGCTTATGGTTTCTTGTTCCCATAACTTGATTTCCAGACAAAATTCTAATGTGGTACGAGGCCACAGTGAGCTTCCATAATTCTGGGTGTTCAGGACCAACAACAGGACTAACTAACTTTGGTCGGGGTGATGAAATCCTCTTTTCACCCCATTTCCATGGATAGGGTGATTCTCACCTTCTATAAACCTAGTCTAGCCTTTTAGTTAAATCACTATCATAGGCCGGATTAGTGGGCCAGGCAGATGGAGCCTGTGAACATGAGTGGGTCTGGCCCATAGAGTCATAATATAATTGGCCTCGAGGGGCCTAGTCTATAATAGTTCCAAATTTATTGTTTTGTAGTACCACTGCAGTATCAGCCACACATTCTTCCCAAACTAAGACTTCTGGGTCTTTTGATTCTTTTGGAATTTCCTTGGGGCATGGTTTCCTTTAGGCCTAAATTTTAATGATCTTTGATAGGAAGAATTCTGTAAATGATTCATTTGTGACCCGAGTGACATTCCACTTATCATATGATAAGTAAATTTACTGGTGGCACTGACAGTAGGTACTTCTATCAACCAATTTTGGATTGTAGGCATTAAGCATCCTGGTGCTTTTCCCAGGCAAATAGGAGGATAATGATACCCAATGGAAATGTTTATCATCATTCCTTCTTCTTCAGGTTGGGCAGGGCCACGGTCATCTGTGGGGCCTGGTACCCATTCACTGTTATTAACATATACTTTAATAGGATTATCTATCCAAGTGACTGCCCGAATTAAGGGTGGGAAAATCACATAGGCCCAGTAAGTATAGTTAGCTGTAGCGGCT
Organism: Homo sapiens; assembly: GCF_000001405.40. Lineage (NCBI taxonomy): Eukaryota > Metazoa > Chordata > Mammalia > Primates > Hominidae > Homo > Homo sapiens. Next base: position 9,128,571 of record NC_000004.12, on the reverse strand, counting down.
CCTGAAGACATAGGGAGACTTAACCACCGTTGATACAATCATTAAAGCTGCAAGAAGCATATTCTCTGGAGTCTGTGTTACCCTTGTGTTTTCCAGGCTTTTTTCAGCTAACTGTGTCAGCTTCTTTAGCTGGGCCCAGGTCGGCGGCCCCACTTTCTTGGTGGATGGCAACTTCATCTGTCCTTCTGATATCACCATTTTGTTCACCCTGCGAGTCGTTGATGTTCGATTGCGGGTTCTCTGTCTCTGCGGAGGCGCCTTCCCTTGCATCTCTGATGGGTTCATTATAGAACTTCAAATGTCTAGTGGGTAGCCAAACAGGAAGCTGATTTTCTCCTGGTGAAACACAAGCAAAACCTCCCCCCCATGTTATCACCTTACCTATTTCCCATGTTTTATTTTGTTGTCTTTCCACCAAATCAGTTTTCCCTCATGTGGGCTGTTCTTTTTACCAGTAAAATGTTGTTCTGCAGAAGTAATGGTCTGATTTCTATATATATTTAAAAAATTTAAAGTATAGAGTGCTAGATTAAGTTGCATCTGGGGAGTGTTATATTCCTTACTTTTTCCTTTTTTTGTTTAACCAATTGAGCTTCGAGTGTTCTATTAGTTGTTTCCATTATAGCCTGTCCTTGGAAATTAGGGATTCCTGTTGTATGTGTAATTTTCCACTGATTTAAGAATTTTTGAAATGCTTTACTACAGTATCCTGGCCCATTATCTGTTTTAATTTTTTCTGGAAATCCACTGACTGCAAAACAAGATAATAAATGTCTTTTAACATGGGAAGTACTTTCTCCTGTCTGGCAGGTTGCGCATATGAAATGTGAATAAGTATCAACTGTCACATGGACAAGTGACAATTTTCCAAATGAAGGTACATGTGTGACGTTCATTTGCCATAATGCATCAGGACTTAAACCTCTAGGATTAACTCCTGCCTCTTGAGCGGGCAGGTGTAAGACTTGACACTGAGCATAATGTTGTACAACATTTTTTGCTTGTTTCCATGTGATATCAAATTTGTTTTTTAATCCTGTTGCATTTACATGAGTCAGGGCCTGAAGTTCTTGTGCTTCCATGAAGGCAGATGATACTAGCAAGTCAGCTTGTTCATTTGCCTTAGTTAAAGGCCCTGGTAAATTAGTATGTGCTCGGATATGAGCCATATAAAATGGGAAATTTCTTTTTCTTACAGTTTGTTGTAACAATTTAAACAGCTGATTTAACTGATCATCCACACTATATTTGATTAGGGCTGTCTCAACATCCTTTGTAACCTGTACTACATATGCAGAATCTGAAACAATGTTAATAGACTGATTAAAATCTTGTAACACTGAAATGACAGCAACCAATTCTGCTCTTTGAGCTGAGTGATATTGAGTTTCAATAACTTGTTCTTTTGGTCCAGTGTAAGCCACTTTTCCATTGCTGGAACCATCAGTAAACACCGTCAGAGCATTTTCTAGAGGTTTTTGTCTGGTAATTTTAGGTAAAATCCAAGTAGTCAATTTCAAAAACTGGAAGATTTTTGCTTTTGGTTAATGATTATCAATAATTCCCACAAAATCAGCAAGACCAATCTGCCCTGCACCAGAATTGATAAAGGCTTGTCTAACCTGCTCCTTGTTTAAAGAAACAATGATTTTATCTGGGTCATTTCCACACAATTTTACTATTCATAGTCTTGCCTGACCAATTAATGTAGCCATTTGATCTAAGTACAATGTAAAAGTCTTAACTGTACTGTGAGGAAGGAATGACCACTCCTCAAGATCTGTATTTTGAACAATAATGCCTGTTGGAGAATGTGCAGTAGCAAAAATGAAAAGTTGGAGTGGGGCTAAGTGATCTATTCTATTTACTTTTGCTGACTGAATTTTTTCTTCAACTAATTCAATTTCTTTAGTTGCCCCTGGAGTTAATGTTCTTTTACTATTTAAGTCTGGATCCCCTCTCAAGATAGAGAACAAAGTTGACATGGGATAAGTACGGATGCCTAGAGTTGGCCGAATCCAATTAATATCTCCTAGCAATTTTTGAAAGTCATTTAATGTTCTTAATGTGTCTTTTCTTATTTCTACTTTTTGTGGTTTAATTTTTCTCTCCTCTACCTGCATTCCCAAATAATGAAAAGGAGTGGAGGTCTGAATCTTATCAGATGCTATTGTCAGGCCTGCGTTTGCAACCTCTGTCTGCAGAAATGTGTAACAGTCAATTAATTTGTCTCTTGTTTCTGAAGCACACAAAATATCATCAACATAATGAATGATATAACAGTCTGAAAACTTGTCTCTAACTGGTTGAAGAACTTGAGCTACAAAAGTCTGACAAATAGTTGGACTATTAAGCATTCCCTGGGGCAACACTTTCCACAGAAATCTAGTGGCTGGTTCTTTAATATTTATGGCTGGTATAGTAAAAGCAAATTTTTCAAAATCCTGTTTTGCCAGAGGAATGGTAAAAAAGCAATACTTCAGATCAACTGTAATTAAAGGCCAATCTTTGGGGATGATGGCTGGACAGGGCAGCCCAGGTTGGAGAGACCCCATGGGTTGAATTACTGCATTAACAGCTCTTAAATCAGTTAACATGCGCCATCTGCCTGATTTTTTTCTGAATTACAAACACAGGAAAATTCCAAGGCGAAAATGAATGCTCAATATGTCCCTTTTCTAATTGTTCTTTTGCCAATAAGTGTAAGGCCTCCAGCTTTTGTTTTGGCAGTGACCACTGACTTACCCATAAAGGCATTTCTGTTTTCCAAGTTACTGGAATGGGTTTTGGAGGCTCTACAGTGACCACCCCTAAAAAGGAAACCCTAGTCCTTTTCTTTCTGGATTTCCCTTAGCCTCAATTGGAATTTTAATGCCTTCTCCATTTTTCCCTAGTCCTTTGCCAGGGAGATATCCCATTTTAGTCATGATTTTTTGACTCGTGGGGCTGTATAGAGAGACTGGAATAGTAATCTCTGCATGCCACTGTTCTAATAAGTCTCGACCCCATAAATTAATTAGAATAGAAGTAATCATAGGCTGAACTGTAGTCTCTTGATTATCAGGTCCTAGACAATGTAAAATCCTGGCACTTTGATACACTTCTGAGGCAGTGCCCACACCAACAAATCCTGTAACAGGCTTTTGTTTAGGCTGATTTTTTTGCCATTGATTTAAGGCAATGATGGAAACATCAGCCCCAGTATCCACTAATCCTTCAAACTGTTTTCCCTGAATAGTAACTGTACACACAGGTCTATTCTCTGAGAGCTGACTAGCCCAATAAACAGCTTTTCCAGCAGTGTTGGTACTTCCAAACACTCCTGTTTCTGTTTTGCTATCCCCAATTTTAATATAAGGCAAGAGCAGTAATTGAGCAATTCTATCACCTGGATTGGCACTCCAGGGAACAGTAGAGCTGATCACTAACTGAATTTCCCCTTTATAATCTGAGTCAATTACCCCAGTATGAATTTGAACTCCTTTCAAATTTAGACTAGATCTTCCTAAAATAAGGCCTACCATCCCTTCTGGCAGCGGCCCATATACCCCTGTAGGAATCTTTTGAGGGGGCTCTCCAGGGAGTAAAGAAATCATTTGAGTAGAACATAAATCTACGGCAGCACTGCCTGCTGTGGCAGGGGATAATTGTCGTATTGTAATTGGCTGATTTCCTGAAATGGTGGTATTTACTGTGGGGGTTGTTGTCCCTGAAAACCCTGAGGAACAAATGGCTGAATCGGGAATGCCCCACTTTGTTGCGGGGCCTGGGGCTGACCCCTCTTCCCCGTTTCCCGACAATGGTTGTCCATTTTTATCAAATTTAGAACGACATTCCTTAGCCCAGTGTTTTCCTTTTCCACATCTTGGACACAGGCCAGGTGGCTCTATTTTTTTTTTTTTTGCTCTGTTTATTTAAGCCTGGGCAATTCTTTTTTAGATGACCGATTTGACCACAATTATAACATTTTCCCCCAAATGTTTTAACTTGTCCTCCTAAAGCAACCCCTGTAATTGCTTGAGCCAATAGCATTGCCTTATGCATAGCTCCTCCAATCCCATCACAAGCCTTCACATATTCTGTAATTACATCAACTCCTGCTGAAACCTTTTCTCTTAATGGCTTTATGGCTGATTGACACTCTGGATTTGCGTTTTGATAAGCCATTGTTTCTACAATAACTTTTCGGGCGTTATTACCTGCAATGGATTTTTGAGCCGCATCTTGCAACCTTGCCACGAAGTCTGGATATGGCTCTTTAGAGCCTTGTCTGATTGAACTAAAAGAAGGGCATGAGGTTCCTGGGTCCTGAATCTTTTCCCAGGCCCTGAGGCAAATAGCCCTTAGTTGTTCAATAGCCTGATTTTCATTACTGATTGTTGGTTAGTAGTGCCCCAATTTGGACCTGTTCTTAGCAATTGGTCTGCATCTATATAAGCAACAGGATTAGTAGCCTGATTTTTTCGTAGCTGTTCTTGTACCCCATCATTCCACCAGGTTTTAAACTGTAGATACTGAGAGGGTGAAAGGGAAGATTTAGCCAAAATTTCCCAATCATAAGAAATAAGTCTATTTCCATGAGCAATGGAATCTAATAGTGTTCTCATATAAGGAGAGTTAGGTCCATATTGTTTAACTCCTTCCTTCATATCTTTTAAATTTTTTTATGGTGATAGATTCATATCTAGTCTTGGTTCAGACAGACGCTCTTGCTTGACTCCCTTTCCCGGCCGGCATTGTTTGTAACATTCCCGGATATTGCCATGCCTCAAGATCTCCCTGTTTTCTGGCTGTAGCAATGGTCTCATGCAGTGCACTACCTTGTCCACTAGGTGGTACTGTAAGATCAAACGCCATCGCCTTGGGTTGTTGATATAGTGCCTTGCTATTTGGCACAGGACGCACCGCCTGAGATCCATACTGAACCTCTGGAGACGGCGGATACTGAAATACGGCTGACGGCTTGTGTTGATAAACTACCGATGGTTGGGTTTTATTTTCTACTGGCTGGTATTGCGGATACTGTGCCTGGATTGGCATTTGAGATTGTGACATCAAAGGCATCTGAACCGCGGGAGAAGGAGTTGGTGGCCATCGTGGTCTAAACTCTGATGGCCCAAATAATTCTGGACCTCCTTCTCCCAATTTTGATGATTCAGGATATATTACCTCCTGTAATTGATTATAGTCAACATTCTGCATTGACCAAGCCAGTACAGGCTCTACTGCATTTTTACAATGTGTACTTTCCATTCCTTTCTTAAACTCTGTTCCTGCCTCTTCTTCACAATCTATTACACAGCTTTCAGAGGCATCAAAGACTGAAACGCTATCTTCTTCTATTTGAAATGGTTCTAAAGTTGCTTTAATAATGGCCCAATCATTCCATGCTGTAAGTGGGATGATTTTACCTTCCCTAATTGCTTGTTTTAGTTCTTTGCCAATTTTTTCCCAATCTTTTAAATATTAAGTTCCCTGTTCTGGAAACCATGGGCAGAATTGTTCTATTGTTTGAAACAGCGTAACTAGATTTTCTGTAGAAGCTTTAACTCCCCCTCTTCTTAAGATAATTTTAATGAAGCTGAGATAAGAAGCATATTTACTTTCAGTTTGCCCCATTGTTACCCTGGATTCCTCTGAGCGCACAAGCTAACCACAAGGCTGACTGTGGACGTACTAGGGAATCTCTCGTCGGCTGTCCTCAATGCTCACGTTCTTAGAGTACCTTCACCCTACAGAAGGGCCCCAAGCTGGGCTCCAGATGAAGGGGTGGCCTGCCCCTCCACACCTGTGGGTATTTCTAGTCGGGTGGGATGAGAGACGGAGAAAAGAAATAAGACACAGAGACAAAGTATAGAGAAACAACAGTGGGTCCAGGGGACCGGCACTCAGCACACCAAGGACATGCACCGGCACCGGGCTCTGAGTTCCCTCAGTTTTTATTGATTATGATTTTCATTATTTCAGCAAAAAGGAATGTAATAGGAGAGCAGGGTGATAATAAGGAGGTCAACAAAAAACATGTGAGCCAAAGAATCTATATCATAAATAAGTTCAAGGGAAGGTACTATGCCTGGACGTGTACGTAAGCCAGATTTATGTTTCTCTCCACCCAAACATCTCAGTGGTGTAAAGAATAACAAGGCAGCATTGCTGCAAACATGTCTCGCCTCCTGTCACAGGGCAGCTTTTCTCCTATCTAAGACTTGAACAAATGCACAATCGGGTTTTACACCGAGACTTTGAGTTCCCAGGGGCAGGCAGGAGACAGTGGTCTTCCTCCATCTCAAATGCAAGAGGCTTTCCTCTTGTACTAATTCACCTCAGCACAGACCTTTTACAGGTATCGGGCTGGGGGACAGTCAGGTCTTTCTCATCCCACGAGGCCATATTTCAGATTATCACATGGGGAGAAACCTTGGACAATACCCTGCTTTCAAGGGCAGAGGTCCCTGCGGCTTTCCACAGTGTATTGTGCCCCTGGTTTATTGAGACTAGAGAATGGCAATGACTTTTACAAGTATACTGCTTGTAAACATTTTGATAACAAGGCACGTCGTGCACAGCCCTAGATCCCTTAAACCTTGATTTTATACAACACATGTTTGGGAACTCCAAGTTGGGTCAAAGTGGTTGGGGCAAAGTGGCTGGGGCAAAGCTACAAATGAACAACATCTCTGCAAAGCAATTGTTTAAAGTACAGATCTTTTTCAAAATGGAGTCTCTTATGTCTTCCCTTTCTACATAGACACAGTGACAGTCTGATCTCTCTTTCTTTTCCCTACACAAATGAAGAGCCCAGTGCCTTTTCTCATTGCTCAAGAGATTGAAAGGGTAGGAAGAAAAGATGTTAAGTTATAAACATGTTTCAGTTTTGGTACCACTTGAGCCAATTTACGTTTTGAAGAGGAGAATCTTGCCTACAAAGTCAGCCCCTGGGTTTTCCTTCTGCTTATGGAATCCAGTCAATGCGCAAAGAGAAAAAGAAAACTAAGGAATCAGCCAGATGCAGTGACTCATGCTTGTAATCTTGGCACTTTGGGAGGTTGAGGCAGGTGGACTTCTTGAGTCCAGAAGTTCAAGACCAGCCTGGCCCTCATAGTGAGACCCCATTTCTACAAAAAATAGAAAAAGTTGCTGAGCATGGTGGCATGCACCTGTAGTCCCAGTTACTTGGGAGGCTGAGGTGGGAGAACTACTTCAGCTCAGGAGGTTGAGGGTACAGTGAGCCATGATTGTGCCACTATACTCCTGCCTGGGTGACAGAGTGAGGTCCTGTCTCAAAAGAAAACAAAAAATATAAGAAAAAGAAAACTAGGGAATCTGGACAGAATAAGTTTATATATATAATAAAGAACTGAGATAGAACTGGGTTGACTGAATAATTATTTGAATTGCTTTTGAGTGAATTTTTCCTATTGGAGTGTACCTTTGTTTTTGTGCGTGTGCGCGCTTTATGTTTTTTGTTTGTTTGTTTGTTTGTTTGTTTTTGGTTTAGTTTTGTCTTTGAGTTTTTTTGAGACTGGGCCTTGCTCTGTTGCCCAGGCTGCTGGAGTGCAGTGGCACAACCTCAGCTCACTGCAACCTCTGCCTCCTGGGTCCCAGCAATTCTTCTGCCTCAGCCTCCACAAAAGCTAGGACTACTGGGCATGTACCACCAAGCCCAGCTAATTTTTGTATTTTTAGTAGAGATGGGGTTTCACCATGTTGGCCAGGCCTGGTCTTGAACTCCTGGGCTCAAGTGATCCACCTGCCTCAGCCTTCCAAAGTGCTGGGATTACAGGTGTGAGCCCGTGCGCCCAGCTAGAGTCTACCATTCTTTGAATTCACTGCAGTGCAAAGACTGGGACATGTGGAACTCCAGGTGCATATGGGTTATGTAGAGATGCCAGGGGCTGATTAAGGAAGGAAAGATATGAGAAGCCTGCAGAGCATGCTTTCCCAGACTGTATGGGCCCTGGGAAGGGAGAAGTGGACAGAAAGGGAACACTAGGTACCCTGGAAGAGAAGATTCATCCAAGTCATCAGGGAAGTTACTAAAGCAAGGGAAAAAATTTAGAGACAGGGCCAAACACGCTTCTTCCAAGTCCTTTCTGTCCGCTCAGTCACCTCTATGTTTATTTTTCTTCTTTCCTCTAAGTAGTGTCATGCGTTTTCTTCCTATTCCTAGTCACTCCTAGTCAACTAACTCCTCTCTTTACCATCTTTTCATCAGAACTTGAAACCTCCTCTCCTTCATGTATTAGTGATCATGTTTCTCCATAATACTGCTAGAAACAAGAATTGAAACCTGGAAAACCTGCATTTGAGAACCAGATCTGCCTCTGCTAGCTATTTGAGAAGTGATTTTGTTCCATTCTTTTTGCTGTTATCGAAACAGGGTGTCACTCTGTCGCCCAGGCTGGAGTGCAGTGGTTCAATCTTGGCTCACTGCAGCCTCAATCTCCTGGGCTCAATCAGTCCTTCCACATCAGCCTCCTGAGTAGCTGAGACTACAGGTGTGTGTCACCACAGCTGGCTAATTTTTAATCCTTTTTTGTTGTTTACTTTTTTTTGTAGAGATGGGGTCTTGCTATGTTGTGTAGGCTGGTCTCAAACTCATGGGCTCAAGCAATCCTCCTGCCTTGGCCTCTCAGATGAAATGGGAAATGTTCCGTTGTCCCCCTCCAAGGGCATGCGATGCGGGTGTGGTTCATTTATTCAGTGCCCCACTGCTCAAACCTCTAGGGGAGCATGCAGACAGGCAGGGAGCCCCATGGCAGTGTCCAGGGGTGAATGTTTATAGTTGAAGCCCCAGTGGGCGTGTGTTACAGGGTGCTCTTTTAGTTTAGCCGTCTGTAGGTAGCTTGTGTTAGTCGGCTCAATTAGACCCCCGTCTTATTGCAAGGACAGAAGGATCTCTTTGTCCCGGGGTTCTTGCCTTGGTGTACCGGACGTGGTGCTATCTCAGCTCACTGCAAGCTCCGCCTCCTCGGTTGACCCCATTCTCCTACCTCAGCCTCCCAAGTAGCTGGGACTACAGGCACCCACCACCAAGCCTGCCTAATTTTTTTGTATTTTTAGTAGAGATGGGGTTTCACTGTGTTAGCCAGAATGGTCTGGATCTCCTGACCTCGTGATCTGCCCGCCTCGGCCTCCCAAAGTGCTGGAATTACAGGCGTGAGAGCGCAAGGTTTTATTGAGTGGAAGTATCTTTCAGCAGATGGGGGAGCCAGAAGGGAGATGGTTTACCCCTGGAGTCGGGTGAGTGGCCTGACTCTTCTCCGAATGTCCCAGCCAAACTCTACGTTGTTCTGCAGTCAGTGGCCTGTGGTGTGTCGGTGCCCATTGGTGCGTTCCTTTTGACATCCAGCACCCTTGTGTTCCTCCGCTGATGTGCTCCTCTCGAAGTCCAGCTGCCTGTGTGTCTGCCTGCTAGGGTCTCAGGGTTTTTATAGGCACAGAATGGGGGTGTGGCAGCCAGGGTGGTCTTGGGAAATGCAACATTTGGGCAGGAAAACAAAAATGCCTGTCCTCACCTAGGTCCGTGGGCACAGGCCCTGGGGTGGAGCCCTAGCCAGGGACCACACCCTCCTCTACCCAGTACTTTCCTTCCTCACTTCCATATCATTTAAAGGGACCACATTCTTCCCTTCTGAGCACTTCCCTTCTGTATCACAAAGTGTTGGGATTATAGGCATGAGCCACTGGTCCCAGCCAATTCCGTTCTTTTAATGCAAACTAGAAAATAGGTGTTCAGAAAGGCCTCCCCTATCCACCTCAGGGAGTTGCTATGAAGATCAAATTAGATCATGTGCAACAGAAGTTTAGAAAAGATTCCAAAAGCACTGTGCAACGAGAATGTATTTTTAAACTCCACTGAGTGGACTTAAAACTATGTTTTTCTTTCTTTCTTTCTTTCTTTCTTTCTTTCTTTCTTTCTTTCTTTCTTTCTTTCGTTTGAGACAGAGTTTCACTCTTGTTGCCTAGGCTGGAATGCAACGATGCCATCTTGGCTTACTGCAACCTCTGCCTCCCAGGTTCAAGTGATTCTCTGCCTCAGCCACACGAGTAGCTGGGATTACAGGCGCTCGCCACCATGCCTGGCTAATTTCTTTCTTTCTTTTGTTTTTGTCTTTTTAGTAGAGATGGGGTTTCATGGTGTTGGCCAGGCTGGTCTCGAACCCCTGACCTTAGGTGATCCACCCACCTTGGCCTCCGAGAATGCTGGGATTAAGGCTTGAGCCACCGCACCCAACCTGTGTTTCTTTTTTAAGCAAGAAAACAAATGCCTCTCCCCAGCGCTCACTAAACAATTCCCTCTTTTTTTTCCATAGGATTCTTATCCTTCTTGCCCCACTGCAAACAATCTATTTTCTTTTGGCCCTTCCATCCATCTGTGAAAGGGTCAGGCTTTCTAGCTAACCCTTCATCAAATATTTTTGATGACCACAGTCAAGACAGCACTTATTATTTTTTTTGAGACGGAGTTTTGCTCTTGTTGCCCAGGCTGGAGTACATTGGCACAATCTTGGCTCACTGCAACCTCTGCCTCCAGGGTTCAACTGATTCTCTTGCCTCAGCCTCCCAAGTAGCTGGGATTACAGGTGCACAACACCACACCCAGCTAATTTTTGTATTTTTAGTAGAGATGGGGTTTCTCCATGTTGGTCAGGCTGGTCTCGAACTCCTGACCTCAGGTGATCTACCCACCTCTGCCTCCCAAAGTGCTGGGATTACAAGGGTGAGCCACCCTGACTGGCCAAGACAGTGCTTATTAATGCCTGAGATGCATTCAGGAGCACATGACCTGGCTGTGACTGTTCTAACAAAGTTCCCCAAATGGGTGGCTCAAGACAACAGAAAGTCATTCTCTCCAGTTCCAGAAGCTTGATGTCTGAAACGGGCAGGGCCGCGCTCCCTCTGAAGGCTCTAGGGATGAATCCTTCCTTGCCTCTTCTGGCTTCTGGTGGTTGCTGGCAATCCTTGGCTTGTGGCCACATCATTCCATTCTCTTCCTTCATTCTCATGTGGCCTTCTCCTCTGTGTGTCTCTGTCTCTTCTTCTCTTCCCATGAGGAATGCCATTATTACTCGATTTAAGGTCCACGCTATTCCAATATGACCTCTTTGTAATTAGATCTGCAGTGACCCTGTTTTCTTTTCTTTTTTTGAGATGGAGTCTTGCTCTGTTGCCGAGGCTGGAGTTCAGTGACACAATCTCAGCTTGCTGCAACTCTGCCTCCTGGGTTCAAGTGATTCTTCAGCCTCAGCCTCCGAAGTAGCTGGGATTACAGGTGCACACCACCATGCCTAGCTAATTTTTGTGTTTTTAGTAGAGACAGGGTTTTGCCATGCTAGCCAGGCTGGTCTCGATCTCCTGACATCAAGTGATCCTCCTGCCTCAGCCTCCCAAAGTGCTAAGATTACAAGCATGAGCCACCATGCCCTGCCCCTATTTTCTAATAAGGGTACATTCCGGGATTCCTGGTGAATATGAATTTTGGAGGACAGTATTCAGTCTAGCAAAAGGCAGAACATCCTCATTTTCTTCCCTACCTCAGAAATAAAGAAATTAAATTCGACCCCTCTGAGAGAGAGAGGCTTCCTGAGCTTCCAACAATCAATTATCCAAATATTAGTCACAGAAGAGCACTAACGGTTGTGCACAGCACGTGGCCAGCCCGTTCTCAGAGTCTGTCAAGTTTAAGGTGAACGCTAATCCTGAATGAGTTTTAAAATGTATTTGGCATATCCTGGTCATTGTAAAATGTTCTCACATTGTGATGGCTGGGGCTTCCCTCTCAGGTGTAATCTGTGAAGTCAGACGTGACACAGCCTGGGTGAGGTGGGCCAAGCTGGGAACTGCGTTAGGAGGGAAGTTGGGGAATGATCTCCAAGGTCTCAGATCCCAAACTGGCTTTAGCCTGATTCACCCAGAGGGATCTCATAAAAAATGCACATTCCGGGGCCCACCCCAGACCTAATGAATCAGAATTACCTGGGAAGAAGCCTGGGGAGCTCTGTTTTCAGAAGCAGCCCAGCCGAATCCTACGGTCAGACAGGGCTAGGAAACCGAGCTCAGTCTAGCACGGTAGTTCCCAAACTCGTCTGTG